>NC_000009.12:31979696-32131212 GCF_000001405.40 Homo sapiens
TGACTGACGGGTTTTTTTGTTTGTTTGTTTGGCACTTTGAACATATCATCTTATTCTCTTCTAGCCTGCAAGGTTTCTACTGAGCAATCTGCTGACAGTCTAATGTGGATTCCTTCATATGTGACTTGCTGCTTTTAAAGTTATCTCTTTGTCTTTGGCTTTTCAAGTTTAATTATAATGTTCTTTGGAGAGTACCTCTATGAGTCATATCTTTTGGGGAACCTTTGAGATTAATGGATCTGGATGTCCATATCTCTCCAAAAACTTAGGAAGTTTACAGCAATTATTTTATTAAATAAGCTTTTTGTTCCTTCCTCTGTCTTTTCTTCTTGTTAAATTTTAATAATGAAAATGTTATCTTAAAGCCGCCCACACTTCTCATAAGCCATCTTCACTCTTTTTCATCTTTTTTCTTGTTGAGTCATGTCAAAAGACCTATCTTTGAGTTCACAGATTATTTCTATGATCTAGTCTGATGTAGTCTGCTGTCAAAGCTCTCTACGATATTTTTCATTTCATTGATTGAATTCTTCATCTCCAAGATTTCTGTTTGGTTCTCTTTTATGGTTTCTATCTCTTCATTGAATAACTCATTCAGATAGCAAATTATTTTCCTGGTTTCATCAAATTATCTGTCTGTATTTTCTTGTATCTCACTGAATTCCCTTAAGAATTACATTAAATTGTTGGGGTGGGAGGGCAATTTATAAATTTCCATTTCTTTGTGGTCAGTTACTGAAGAGCTATCGTGTACCTTCAATGATGTCATGTTTCCTTACTTTTTCATGTTTTTTGTGTTTTGCATGGGTATCTCACAGTGTTGGCACTTCTTCCAAATTTTATAAAGTGGCTTTCATAGAGGAAGACTTCCACCTGCAGATGGGCCTGTGGGCCTGAAGGTGCCAATTGGTCAGGGTACAGTGGCTCTGGTTCTGTGTGGGCACAATGGTATAGTCTCAATGTAGCTTCTTCAGTTATAATCAATGTCAATGAATTATGAGTGTCTCAGTTGTCTAGGCTGCAGGAATTTGTGGCAGTGGTATTGGCTGTGTAGGTTATCAAAGCAAGGGATTTAGGGATCCTCCTGTTCTTGCCTTCCCTATAGCAAAGTATCTTAACTGAGGGAATTTTTCTTGTTGTCATGTCTGACACAACCCACAAACAGCTGCATTGGCAAAAGGATTCAGGTCATAGGTGCTCTGAGCAGCTATAGAGTTGGGTTCCTGGGCTCAGGGTCTTGTGAAACTATTGTAGCACCTAGGACTTAAGGTACAGGTTCACTTTCCAAGACAGAAATGGATGTAATTCTCCCACTAAGCTGTGGTCTATTGCACTGAGCAAACCCAAGCAGTTAGACCCCAGGGGTCTAAGATGTAGGTGTGGTTCTGACCCTGGAAGGCAGGGCAAAGCCTTGACCCAGCTCTGAGGAACAAGGTATGATGTTCTGGATGCTCAGGCTTTGAGGAGGAGGTTCTCAGCTGCTATTTAGAACCCAAACCAGGGCATAGCAGCCAGTGCTCCAGGTGATGACATATTGCACAATGGTAACTATGGATCTTGGGGTGGTAGGATATGGCAGTGGCCCAGGGTCTATGAGGCCAGGTGCAGTAGCAGCAAGGACCCAGGAATGTCAAGGCACTACTGTGGCTTGATCCCTGGTGGGAGGGAAGCAGCACACCAATAACTACCTTCTCCACGGAAGTAAGGCATCTCAGCAGCTCAGACTGCAAGGGGCTAGCCCAATTGTAAATAAGCAGGATACTGTGGCTATTCAGCCTGGAGGATCTGGTGGCACAGCACAACCAAGACTCTGATTCCCTGGGATGCAAGGCACTATGTCTGATCAGCCCCGCAGAGTGTGGCTACATGGGTCAGCATATCCTCCAGACCCTTGGAATATGGTACACCTCATCAGCTGTGGCACTAAGGGGTACAGCTACTCTAGTGTGCCAGGGGCTTGAAGCCGCCAGAGGACAAGATGCTGCCTCATCCATGGTGCTGGGAGAAGAGGTTTTACTACTCTGGTATGCTGGAAGCCTGGGAACCCCAAGAAGGAGGGCACTGTCTTGACTGTAGTATGAGGTGCACAACTACTCTGGTGTACGGGTGGCCTGAGGATCCTAGGGGCAGGACACAACTTCAGCTCATCTCTAAGGAGAGGGCTACATCAGCAACTAGAATGGGGGGGATGGAGCAGCTCTGTTATAGCTTGGCCCTAGTGGGGCAGGAAATAGCAATGGCTCTGCTAGGGGATGGCAAGCTACAGAGTGGGCATGTCACAATGGCAGCAAAGCCTCAGGGATGGACATGGGCAATGGCTACTCCTGAAGCAGGATGTTCTAGTTCCAAGACGGCACATCACAGTAGTGGCAGAGGCCTTGGAGGGACAGAGCAGTACATTGGCTTCTTCTCTGGGGTATCTCAATGTGTGGATTCTGGGGAGCTTCCTTAGCTGGGCTTAGAGCCTGTGAGGACTGCGGGAATATTTGCTAGCAAAAACTAAAGGTGTTCACAGTGGTGATGGGAGCTGTTGGGATTCTCTTGCTTACCTTTTTATGTAGGAAAGAATCCCTCCTGCTTCCAAGCTGATCCCAGCTGGGCAGGTGGGGTGGCAGAGACAAAGTGTTTTCTTCCCTTTCCTATGTGGCCAGCCTGGGGCTAGGCTCCAGTAGATTTTTGCTACTTTTTGCTGTTCTTTGGAGCTCTCCTTTAGTTATGTTGATCAAAATGTAAGTTTTTATTTGTTATTTTGTTTTTTTTGTGGGAGGAAAAGGTACTAGAAGCTTCTAGTCAACCACTTTGCTGATGCCCTCTAATTTTGCCTGTGAAGGATCATTTGAAACTATCACAGTGGTTTTAAGGATAAAGTAATTACTTAAGAAGCACTTACTCCATACCTACAGCAGACTTGAATCTTGGTCAAACACTGTTATTATTGTAATGTAACTAAATAGTGCTTTGGTGATTTATTCAGGTGAGCTTTTTTCTCAGGTGGTGAAAACTAGAAGGACATTTTCAGTATTTTAAAACTCCATTTATTTTAGTTCACTTTAATTTTCATTTCACTTTATTAGTTTAGTTCACTTTAATTCTGCCTCCACATCTGTAGATTCCACATTTGCAGATTTGACCAAGCATGAGTCAAAAATATTTTTAAAAAGAATAAAAAATAACACTAATAAAAGAATATAGTATAACAGCCATTTACATAGCATTTACAATAATTAGCTATGATAAGTAATCTAGATATGATTTAAAGTATACAGGAAGTTGTTCATAGGTTATATGCAAATACTATGCCATTTTGTAGAAGGCACTTCGGCATCTGCAAATTTTGGTATCCACAGGGTGTCCTGGAATGAATATTTTGTGGATACTGAGGGACAACTGTACATATGTCTTCACAGACTAAAAGATAAGGCAGAAATAGATCCAAGCTAATAAATCTGTTAGTTATACATATAATTCTTTGAGAAGAAAAAAGGGAGTAATTCATTCTTTGAGAATTCAGAAGGTAGAGTAGAGGTAAAGAAGTGTTAGAAAAAGCTGCAGAAAAGAGGCAAAATTTGATCTGGATTTTAAGAGAAGAGCTAGAGAGGACAGGGCAACCTGCAGGGCAGAAGGCGGGCATAATGGTGGCGTGCATGAGTAGGAGGGTTTTCTTGGTAGAAAACAGTATTCTCCGATCACTGTTAACAGGCCCAGTGACAGGGTAGCTTCATCCTCTTGCTAATTAAAAGTGCATCTCGTGCTCACGTTCCAGACTCATCAACAGGAAGAAAACAAGAGGCTTAGGTGAGGGCCTAAGTGTCCATGGAATTCATAAGAGGAGGGCAGCTAATATTTTACCTTTCATTTGGTCCAAGTTGTCAGACTGAAGTACCTGGAAGATTAGACATGTTAGGGATATTTAGGCAAACAAGAGCCTAGGGCTTCAGCAATCATCAAATTCTCTTCTGTGGACTTGGGGAGTGACAGCAGGTACCCAGGTTAATAAAGACCACAAAAAGAATGCTGGAGGTATTATTAAGCTTCCCCAGAAGGCGGTTTGAAACAGTCAAATGCATTTCAGAGCTTCTAGAACAGAATAAAAATAAAGAGTGCTGTAATTTAAATGTTAATATCTCATCAAGTTTTATGTATGTGAGGAAAAAGAGAGGGCAGCTCCATAGTCTCTTTTCCGGAAGCTGATAAGTAGCAGTAAACAGCTGGCTGCCCTCAATTCAAACATTTTATGCTGCCTTTGTGATCCATCTTCTCTACCATGTGGTAACATCAAATTAGAAGAGGCAGGCTTGAGAGCTTTTTATTCTGAGGCCAGATCACAGCATGTGAAGAAACATAGTTCTGTAAAAGAATAGTGCTTCTCCAGCACCCAGGGCTGCTCATCTAGTGAGACAGGATGAGGTTATCTTGGTGTTTCCTGGCAACACGTGATGCAGTGAAGCTGTTACTCAGGATAGAACCACCCCATCAGTGTGTATTAATTAAATGCTCAGGTAACTATGGAGGCATGTCAACATGCTTCTCAAAGAGCATTTTAAGAGCAACAATTATGGTAGAGCAATTAGAATGCTATTGTGTGGGCAGCAAGAAAGCACTAAAGCCCACATTAAAATTTGATCACATCATATTAGAACCACATGTAGGATGTCAATGAATGTTTTGAAGAGTGTATTGGGGGTGGGGGATTACTACTGTTAATCACGCTGCATGTGTGAACAATATGTGTGAACTAGCATTACTAGTGATATCACTGGGATTACTATTACTTCTTTGTAAGGGATTAGTTTCTGCCAAGAACAGTTCTAGGCATTTTACTTCATTGAACCTTCACAGGACTGAGATGTAAACTATATTGCCAATACTATTATTTGCCACATTTTTCAGATGAGGGAACTCAGATATTAAGATGTTAAGAATATCCAAGGTCATGCAGCTAATTAATGGTGGAGTTAGAATTTGAACCTAGGCCATCTGGCCTAAGAGTCTAAACTGTGACTACTAAGCCCTGTGTTTTCTTTCCCAGGCAGGAGAGGAAGAGGCCATTTATCATGTGTATAAGGAGAGAAATGTCTATTCTTTTACCTCCTCTAAATATTCCCCAAAACGTATCTGCTACCTAATTTCTGATGTTAATGCTGCTTTAATAAAAGACAAAATATCTTATTTCATAAGCAAAACTAAACCTCAGGGAATATTTGCATAGTGACTAAATATAGACTAACATGTAAACAACCAATGGAGAATTGGATATCTGAGAGGATTTTCTTGGACACTAAACACCAGTATTGAGAAAGTAGCAGGTAACAGGGCTGGAATTAGCAAAGACACACTTATTGCTTAATTTTCAATATTGTCTGGGTCAGTGACGCATGCTCTTAAAATATTCTGCTCTATTTTTGCATTGTTTATATTATGCTACAAGGCTTCCTGTATGCATGTACAGCAATGCTTTGTAGGCATAAAGTGCAACACCTTTTCCCACCAGTGGATTATTAGGGTAAGCAATATGAATGTTTTGACTCTTATGGAGAAGTGTCAAATGATGCAGCCCAAATCACCTTTTCATGTATAATCATCTCTGTTTCTGAGCTCCTATTACATGTATGTTTTATATAAATCATACTGGCACTTAATCATTTATTATTTTGAATTATAATATTATTATTTTATGTTTACATGTCTTCTTCTCCAAGTCTAAGAGGCTAGAGTGTGTATTACAGTTTTTCATATTCTTTTCTCTGTTTAGAGAAGCTTTTTATTCAATGCAATGATTCAATGAATATTTGTTAAGATAATATTACAAAATTTCTTATTCAATCTATTGAGGATTTTTACTTTATTTGTCACATTTTCATATGTTGAACTCTTACTGAATTCTCAAAGTCATGTTTTCTGGAAAAGCTTGTAGAACAAGGGTATGATTTGGTTTTGCCAATGTTTAAAAGAAAGCACCACTAAATCTGCCCATTTTAGGTATTTTGAAGGCAGAGGGAACAGATTTTATAGAATATTTTCATTTTTCTACTAAATGATTAATCTACTGAGATTGTCTACTTCTTCAGTCAATATTGATGCTTTATATTGTTTTATTAAGACTTTTTAGTTTATAAAACTATGTTTGAAATTGAGAGAGACATACTGATATTTTGGTTGACTTTCTATATATTATTATGTTTATTATTTTTAATTTTATGTTTGTGCTTTTCCTTTTATATATTTAATGATTTTGTATTATTTACATTGATTAAAAGTATTAAAACATGTTTATTAATTCAACTGTTCTATAATTTCTTATCTTCAATTATGTTTTATTTCACCTCCTGTTCTCTTTTTATTATTGTTTTTGTTGTATGTGTTTTTTATGTTTGGGGTTGGGGTGGTAGATCAGAGTTCCTTTTCCTACATGTTAAATTTTGGTATATTAGTGGAAATCTCCCCAGTTGTTCAGGACTCCCTGAAGTTACCAGAGTAAATAGGATGTTTTTCAAAAGAAAATATTTATTAGAATTAAAAGGGCATTTTTGCTAAAAATCCATACTGTAGCTGCTCCCCACATTCCATTACCCAAAGATGCACTGAAATGTGATTATCTTTACTTTCCAACATGATCTTACTTGGTCCATTATGTGCTTTTCTTTTTTAAAATTTTTCTTTTGTTCTTTTCTTAATGCCAGTTTTTTCTTATTTGATATAGCTTAGATATTATTTAGTATCACAAAATATAGATAATACATGTTGTTGGAACAAAAATTACACTAGCCAATATTAAATAGGGAAGGAAGACTTAATTCAAGGCTATTTTAAAGAGCTAGGATCAGGGAAATTGTAGGCCATCTGTGTTTGCTAATTGGCCTTATTCAAAGGAAAAGTAAACTTTCTCATATCTTCATAACTGGAGGTAATTTTGCAAATTGGAGCAAGAAATCCACTGAATTTAGGCTCCTACCTTCTCACAAAGACTGGGACATAGGGGAATTACCTTTCTTGATGATTAAATTTTAGAGGTCTTTGAGATATTCACCAAGGGCTTTGAGAAAGATAGTACTAGGTCACAAAAGTGGCAAGAGGCTTTTTGAATGATTTACATGTCAAAGAGCAAAGAAAGAATTTACAAGTTTTCTAAATAAAATACTCCAAGAAAAGGGAGGCCAGGAACCTAGCTTCATAAAGAAGCCTGTCTAATGTTCAGTCAAGCTGAAGGGAAGTTCAAGGTTGTCTTGGTCACCGTTTTCTAAAAATTATTGTTTTTTAATTGAGAGATGCTTCAAGGGTTATATTTTCTTTTGTTTTTAACTGCTTTGCTCTTTTTTTATATTGCGAATATTTTTAATTTTGCTCCAGATTACTTTTCTGTTTGCTAATTGGTTCTTTTAGAAAGAATTATACATGTGCTTTCTAAACGATGATGTTATAATTATTTTAATAAGACATAGGAGAAGGAAATACTCTTAACTAAGCCACCATCCCAGAAAGAACCATGTTTATGTTTTTAAGTATACTCTACAACTGGGTCATAAACTTCTGAATATCTGTATGCCTACCTTAATTTTTAATGTAATTATTTATTTTAAGTCTTTCTCAATATCTGGCCATAAGCCTGGTATACAGCAGGTACGAAATATATTTTAATGGAATCAATAAATTCTACAATCCAAGAGAAGAGATAAAAATCGGGCAAATGGGATGGAGATCTTTTTCCTTATCCTTTATTTATTGAGGTGCATGAAATGTCCATTATCCTTATTTCTGATAAACTGGCAAATTCTGTGACTCCCAATTTTCCTTCAAAGAAAAAGTGACAGAAAATCAAATGATTTCACTGGTGCTAGCATATCTGGGTGTATTAGTCCGTTTTAATGCTGCTGATAAAGACATACCCAAGACTGGGTAATTCATAAAGAGAAAGGTTTAATGGACTCACAGTTCCATGTAGCTGGGGATGCTCACCATCATGGTGGAAGTCAAAACGCACATCTTACATGACAGCAGGCAAGATAAAATGAGAGCCAAGCAAAAGGGGAAACCCCCTATAAAACCATGAGCTCTTGTGAGACTTATTCACTACCATGAGAACAGTATGGAGGAAATCATCCGCATGATTCAATTACCACCCACAGAGTTCCTCCCACAACACATGGGAATTATGGGAGCTACAATTCAAGATGAGATTTGGGTGGGCACACAGCCAAACCATATCATTCTGCCCCTGGCCCCTCCAAAATCTCATGTCCTCACATATAAAAACCAACCATGCCTTCCCAACAGTCCCCTAAAGTCTTAACTCATTTCAGGGTTAACTCAAAAGTCCACAGTCCAAAGTGTCATATGAGACAAGGCAAGTCCCTTCTGCCTATAAGCCTGTAAAATCAAAAGCAAGTTTGTTACTACCTAGATACAATAAGGATCCAGGCATTAGATAAATACCCCCACTCCAAATGGGAAAAACTGGCCAAAACAAAAGAGCTAAAGACCCCATGCAAATCCAAAATCCAGTGGGTAAGTCAAATCTTAAAGTCTCGAAATGATCTCCTTTGACTCCATGTCTCACATGCAGGCCATGCTGATGCAAGAGGTGGGTTCCCATGGTCTTGGGCAGCTCCACCCCTGTGGCTTTGCAGGTACAGCCTCCCTCCTGGCTGCTTTCATGGGCTGGCGTTGAGTGTCTGCGGCTTTTCCAGGTGCATGGTGCAAGCTGTCAGTGGATCTACCATTCTGGAGGACAGTGGCTGTCTTCTCACAGCTCCACTAGGCAGTACCCCAGTAGAGACTCTGTGTTGGGGCTCTGACCCCACATTTCCCTTCTGCACTGCCCTAGCACAGGTTCTCAATGAGGGCTCAGCCCCTGCAGCAAACTTCTGCCTGGACATCCAGGCATTTCCATACATCCTCTGAAATCCAGGCAGAGGTTCCCAAACCTTAATTCTTGACTACTGTGCACCCACAGGCTCAAAACCACATGGAAGCTGCCAAGACTTGGGGCTTGCACACTCTGAAGCATGACCAGAGCTGTACCTTGGCTCCATTTAGCCATGGTTAGAGCAGCTGGGACACAGGGCACCAAGTCACTATGATGCACACAGCAGGAAGGCCCTGGGCCCAGCCCACAAAACCATTTTTTCCTGCCAGTCTTCTGGACCTGTGATGGGAGGGGCTGTCACAAAGGTCTTTCACATGCTCTGGAGACATTTCCCCCATTGTCTTGGTGATTAACATTTGGCTCGTAGTTACTTATACAAATATATGTAGCTGTCTTGAATTTTTCCTCAGAAAATGGGTTTTTCTTTTCTGTCACATCATCAGGTGCAAATTTTCTGACTTTTTTGCTCCGTTTCCCTTTTAAAACGGAATGCTTTTAACAGCACCCAAGTCACTTCTTGAATGCTTTGCTGCTTAGAAATTTCTTCCACCAGATACCCTAAATCATCTCTCTCAAGTTCAGGGTTCCACAAATATCTAGGGCAGGGGCAAAATGTCAGTAGTCTCATCTCTGAAACATAACAAGAGTCACCTTTACTATAGTTCCCAACAAGTCCCTCATCTCCATCTGAGACCACCTCAGCCTGGATTTCATTGTCCATATCATTATTAGCATTTTGGTCAAAGCCATTCAACAAGTCTCTATGCAGTTCCAAACTTTCCCACATTTTCCTGTCTTCTTCAGAGCCCTCCAAACTCTTCCAACATCTCCTTGTTACTCAGTTCCAAAGCTGCTTCCACATTTTCAGGTATCTTTACAGCAGTGTCCCACCCTACTGGTACCAATTTTTTCTGTTAGTCCGTTTTTGTACTACTGAAATAAACATACCTGAGACTGAGTAATTTATAAAGAGAAGGAGGTTTAATGGACTCAGCTCCATGTGGTTGGGGAGGCAAAAGTCCCCCATCACATCATGGGGGATGGTGAATGTCACATCTTACATGGTGGCAGGCAAGAGAGAATGAGAGCCAAGTGAAAGGGGTTTCCCCTTATAAAATCATCAGATCTTGAGTTTACATAGCAAGATGGCCGAATAGGAACAGCTCCAGTCTGCAGCTCCCAGCGTGATCAACGCAGAAGATGGGTGATTTCTGCATTTCCAACTGAAGTACCAGGTTCATTTCAATGGGACTGGTTGGACAGTGGGTGCAGCCCATGAAGGGCAAGCCAAAGCAGGCCGGGGCATCACCTCACCCGGGAAGCACAAGGGGTCAGGCGATTTCTCTTTCCTAGTCAAGGGAAGCCATGGCAGACTGCACCTGGAAAAACGAGACACTTCCACCCAAATACTGCGTTTTTCGCAAGGTCTTAGCAACTAACAGACAAGGAGATTCTCTCCCGTGCCTGGCTCGGCTGGTCCCACACCCACGGTGACTTGTTCACTGCTAGCACAGCAGTTTGAGATCGAACTACGAGGCAACAACCTGGCTAAGGGAGGGGCATCTGCCATTGCTGAGGCTTGAGTAGGTAAACAAAGTGGCCAGGAAGCTCGAACTGGGTGGAGCCCACTGCAGCTTAGCAAGCCTTACTGACACTACAGACTCCACCTCTGTGAGCAGGGTATAGCTGAACAAAAGGCAGCAGACAACTTCTGCAGACTTAAGTGTCCCTGTCTGACAGCTCTGAAGAGAGCAGTGGTGCTCCCAGCCTGACATTTGAGCTCTGAGAACAGACAGACTGCCTCCTCAAGTGGGTCCCTGACCCCTGTGTAGCCTAACTGGGAGACACCTGCCAGTAGAGGCCGACAGACACCTCATAAAGGCGGGTGCGCCTCTATGATGAAGCTTCTAGAGGAAGGATCAGGCAACGATATTTGCTCTTCTGCAATATTTGCTGTTCTGCAGCCTCCACTGGTGATACCCAGGCAAACAGGGTCTTGAGTGGACCTCCAGCGAACTCCAACAGACCTGCAGCTGAGGGACCTGACTCTTAGGAGGAAAACAAACCAACAGAAAGGAAAAACATCAACATCAACAAAAAGGACATCTACACCAAAATCCCATCTGTAGGTCACCAACATCAAAGATGAAAGGTAGATAAAACCACAAAAATGGGAAGAAACCAGAGCAGAAAAGCTGAAAATTCTAAAAACCAGAGCACCTCTTCTACACCACAGTATCGCAGCTCCTCGCCAGCAACAGAAAAAAGATGGATGGAGAATGACTTTGACAAGTTGACAGAAGGAGGTTTCAGAAGGTCGGTAATAACATACTTTTCCAAGCTAAAGGAATATCTTCTAACCCATCACAAGGAAGCTAAAAACCTTGAAAAAAAGGTTAGACGAAGGGCTAAATAGAATAAACAGGGTAAAGAAGACCTTAAATGACCTGATGGAGCTAAAACCATGGCAAGAGAACTTCGTGATGCATGCAAAGTTTCAATAGCCAATTCAATCAAGTGGAAGAAAGGGTATCAGTGATTGAAGATCAAATTAATGAAATAAAGCAAGAACCCAAGTTTAGAGAAAAAAGAGTAAAAAGAAATGAACAAAGCCTCCAAGAAATATGGGACTATGTGAAAAGACCAAATCTATGTTTGATTGGTGTACCTGAAAGTGACAGGGAGAATGGAACTAAGTTGGAAAACACTCTTCAGGATATTATCCAGGAGAACTTCTCCAACCTAGCAAGGCAGACCAACATTCAAATTCAGGAAATACAGAGAACACCACAAAGATACTCCTCAAGAAGAGCAACTGCAAGACACATAATTGTCAGATTCACCAAGGTTGAAATGAAGGAAAAAATATTAAGCACAGCCAGAGAGAAAGGTCGGATTACCCACAAAGGGAAGCCCACCAGACTAACAGCAGATCTTTCAGCAGAAACCCTACAAGCCAGAAGAGAGTGGGGGCCAATATTCAACATTGTTAAAGAAAAGAATTTTCAACCCAGAATTTCATATCCAGCCAAACTAAGCTTCATAAGTGAAGGAGAAATAAAATCCTTTACAGAGAAGCAAATGCTGAGAGATTTTGTCACCACCATACCTGCCTTACAAGAGCTCCTGACGGAAACACTAAACATGGAAAGAAACAACCAGTACCAGCCACTGCAAAAACATGCCAAATTGTAAAGACCACTGATGCTGTGAAGAAACTGCATCAATTAATGGACAAAATAACCAGCAAACATTGTAATGACAAGATCAAATTCACACATAACCATATTAACCTTAAATGTAAATGGGCTAAATGCCCCAATTAAAAGACACAGACTGGCAACTTGGATAAAGAGTCAAGACCCATCAGTGTATTGTATTGAGGAGACCCATCTCACATGCAGAGACACACATAGGCTGAAATAAAGGGATGGAGGAAGATCTACCAAGAAAATGGAAAGCAAAAAAAAGCAGGGGTTGCAATCCTAGTCTCTGATAAGACAGACTTTAAACCAACAAAGATCAAAGAGACAAGGCCATTACATGATGGTAAAGGGATCAATTCAACAAGAAGAGCTAACTATCCTAAATATATATGCACCCAATACAAGAGCACCTAGGTTCATAAATCAAGTCCTTGGAGACCTACAAAGACACTTAGACTCCCACACAATAATAATGGGAGACTTTAACACCCCACTGTCAATATTAGACAGATCAATGAGACAGAAAGTTAACAAGGATATCCAGGAATTGAACTCAGCTCTGCACCAAGCAGACCTAATAGACATCTACAGAACTCTCCACCCCAAATCAGCAGAATATACATTCTTCTCAGCATCACATTGCACTTATTCTAAAATTGACCACATAATTGGAAGTAAAGCACTCCTCAACAATGTAAAAGAACAGAAATTATAACAAACTGTCTCTCCGACCACAGTGCAATCAAATTAGAACTCAGGATTAAGAAACTCACTCAAAACCACTCAACTACATGGAAACTGAACAACCTGCTCCAGAATGACTACGGGGTACATAACGAAATGAAGGCAGACATAAAGCTGTTCTTTGAAACCAATGAGAACAAAGACACAATGTACAAGAATCTCTGGGACACATTTAAAGCAGTATGTAGAGGAAATTTATAGCACTAAATGCTCACAAGAGAAAGCAAGAAAGATCTAAAATCAACACCCTAACATCCCAATTAAAACAACTAGAGAAGCAAGAGCAAACACATTCAAAAGCTAGCAGAAGGCAAGAAACAACTAAGATCAGAGCAGAACTGAAGGAGACAGACACAAAAAACCCTTCAAAAAATCAATGAATCCAGGAGCTGGTTTTTTGAAAAGATCAACAGAATTGATAGACTGCTAGCAAGACTAATAAAGAAGAAAAGAGAGAAGGATCAAATAGACGCTATAAAAAATGAAAAGAGGATCACCACCGATCCCACAGAAATACAAACTACCATGAGAGAATACTATAAACACCTCTATGCAAATAAACTAGAAAATCTATAAGAAATGGATAAATTCCTGGACATATAAACCAATGGAACAGAACAGAGGCCTTAGAAATAACACCACACATCTAGTACCATCTGATGTTTGACAAACCTGACAAAAATAAGCAATGGGGAAAGGATTTCCTATTTAATAAATGGTGCTAGGACACACCCTCCCAAGACTAAAGCAGGAAGAAGTTGAATCTCTGAATAGACCAATAACAGGCTCTGAAATTTAGGCAATAATTAATACCTTACCAACCAAAAAAGTCCAGGACCAGACGGATTCACAGCCGAAGTCTACCAAAGGTACAAAGAGGAGCTGGTACCATTCCTTCTGAAACTATTTCAGTCAATAAAGAGGGAGTCCTCCTTAACTCATTTTATGAGGCCAGCATCATCCTGATACCAAGCCTGGCAGATATACAACAAAAAAAGATAATTTTAGACCAATATCCCTGATGAACATCCATGCAAAAATCCTCAATAAAATACTGGCAAACCAAATCCAGCAGCACATCAGAAAGCTTATCCACTATGATCAAGTCAGCTTCATCCCTGGGATGCAAGGCTGGTTTAACATATGCAAATCAATAAACAGAATCCATCACATAAATAGAACCAACAACAAAAACGACATGATTATCTCAATAGATGCAGAAAAGGCCTTCAACAAAATTCAACAGGCCTTCATGTTAAAAACTCTGAATAAACTAGGTATTGATGGAACGTATCTCAAAATAATAAGAGCTATTTAGGACAAACTGACAGCCAATATCATACTGAATGGACAAAAACTGTAAACATTCCCTTTGAAAACTGGCACAATACAAGGATGCCCTCTCTCACCAATCCTATTCAACATAGTGTCGGAAGTTGTGACCAGGGCAATCAGGCAAGAGAAAGAAATAAAGGGTATTCACTTAGGAAAAGAGGAAGTCAAATTGTCCCTGTTTGCAGAGATGACATGGTTGTATATTTAGAAAACCCCATCATCTCGGCCCCAAATCTCCTTAAGCTGATAAGCAACTTCAGCAAAGTCTCAGGATGCAACCATCCTGAGTGCAAAATCACAATGTGCAAAATTCACAATGTGCAAAAATCACAAGCATTCCTATACACCAATAACATACAAACAGAGAGCCAAATCATGAGTGAACTCCCATTCACAATTGCTACAAGGAGAATAAAATACCTAGGAATCCAACTTACAAGGGATGTGAAGGACCTCTTCAAGGAGAACTACAAACCACTTCTCATTGAAATAAAAGAGGACACAAACAAATGGAAGAACATTCCATGCTCACGGATAGAAAGAATCAATATTGTGAAAATGGCCATACTGCCCAAGGTAATTTATGGATTCAATGCCATCCCCATCAAGCTACCAATGACTTTCTTCACAGAATTGGAAAAAACTACTTTAAAGTTCATATGGAACCAAAAAAGAGCACACATTGCCAAGACAATCCTAAGCCAAAAGAACAAAGCTGGAGGCATCACGCTACCTGACTTCAAACTATACTACAATGCTACAGCAACTAAAACAGCATGGTACTGGTACCAAAACAGAGAGTCCTCAGAACAAAACAGAGTCCTCAGAAATAGCACCACACATCTACAACCATCTGATCTTCGACAAACCTGACAAAAACAAGAAATGGGGAAAGGATTCCCTATTTAATAAATGGTGCTGGGAAAAACTGGCTAGCCATATGTAGAAAGCTGAAACTGGATCCCTTCCTTATACCTCATACAGAAATTAATTCAAGATGGGTTTAATACTTAAATGTTAGACTTAAAACCATAAAAACTCTAGAAGAAAACCTAGGCAATACCATTTGGGACATAGGCATGGGCAAGGGCTTCATGAGTAAAACACCAAAAGCAATGGCAACAAAAGCCAAAATTGACAAATGGGATCTAATTAAACTAAAGAGCTTCTGCATGGCAAACGAAACTACCATCAGAGTGAACAGGCAACCTACAGAATGAGAGAAAATTTTTGCAATGTATCCCTCTGACAAAGTGCTAATATCCAGAATCTACAAAGAACTCAAAGAAATTTACAAGAAAAAAACAACCCCATCAAAATGTGGGCAAAGCATATGAACACACCTCAAAAGAAGACATTTATGCAGCCAACAGACACATGAAAAAATGCTCATCATCACTGCTTTTCAGAGAAATGCAAATCAAAACCACAATGAGATACCATCTCATGCCAGTTAGAATGGCGATCATTAAAAAGTCAGGAAACAACAGATGCTGGAGAGGATGCGGAGAAATAGGAACACTTTTACACTGTTGGGAGTGTGTATTAGTGCAACTCTTGTGGAAGACAGTGTGGCAATTCCTCAAGGATCTAGAACTAGAAATACCATTTGACCCAGCCATCCCATTACTGGGTATATACCCAAAGGATTATAAATCATGCTACTATAAAGACACATGCACTTGTATGTTTATTGCGGCACTATTCACAATAGCAAAGACTTGGAACCAACCCATATGCCCATCAATGATAGACTGGATAAAGAAAATGTGGCACATATACACCATGGAATACTATGCAGCCATAAAAAAGGATGAGTTCATGTCCTTTTCAGGGACATGGATGAAGCTGGAAACCATCATTCTCAGCAAACTCTCAAAAGGACAGAAAACCGAACACCGCATGTTCTCACTCATAGGTGGGAATTGAACAATGAGAACACTTGGACATAGGGCAGGGAACATCACACACCGGGACCTGTCGGGGAGTGGGGGCCTGGGACAGGGATAGCATTAGGAGAAATACCTAATGTAAATGAGGAGTTGATGGGTGCAACAAACCAACATGACACATGTATACCTATTTATCAAATCTGCACATTGTGCACATGTACCCTAGAACCTAAAGTATAAAAAAAAAAGTTTACAGAAACTTTCCCAAGGCCACAGAGCTGATAAATGATGGAATCTGAAGATAAAAAAAGTTTAAAAAAAATCAGATCTCAAGAGATTTATTCACTACCATGAGAATATGGGGTAAACCGCTCCCGTGATTCAGTTTTCTCCCACTGGGTCCCTCTCATAACATGTGGGAATTATGGAAGTTACAATTCAAGATGAGATGTGGGTGAGGACATAGCCAAACCATATCGCTGGGCTAGTGCAATAGTGTGATTCCTGGGAAATGCGGCCAACCACATGTGAGACAGAAGAAAAAGCAAAAAGCAAACAAAGAAAAGAAAGCAAAAAAAAAAAAAAAAAAGCTTTTCATACGATAGGGAGTGGGGTTGGCTAATTTTGATAAACAATTACCATTTTTAATAATAGCAATAATAAGTATTATAATCATATTTTTTTTTGGTATGGAATTATCTCCTGAAAAAAAACAGAAGCATATTTGCAAGGTATTTTCCCTTGAAAGGGACTTAATAAATAAAGAGACCAGACCACAGTGCCTCCTGGTGGGAAACTGATTGCAGCTTGAAGCCTCTTCCTCAATTATTTATTTACCCAATCTCTTAAACCTGCAAGTGAGGAGGCAAAGAAAACAGTTACATGCATCTGACTCCAACCTGAGCTGGGCTTAAATATGCAATAAGGAAAATGAAACCTAAGGGACCAATGCCTTATCCTTTGGGAAACTGCAGTTTGGGATCTCCAGACTGAGACTTGAAGAGGAAATGAATGGAGAGAATATGGGAGAAGAAACAGACAAGTCAGAATGCAGAAAGCATCATGGAGGACGCTCCTGTGAAGGTCTAAACCTGAAACAAAGACAAGTAAGTGAGAAAAAAGAGCAAGTTTTGTTTTTCGTTTTTTGTTTGTTTGTTTGTTGAGAGAGTCTCGCTCTGTCGCCCAGGCTGGAGTGCAGTGGCGCGATCTCTGCTCACTGCAACCTCCGGCTCCCGAGTTCAAGTGATTCTCCTGCCTCAGCCTCCCGAGTAGCTGGGATTACAGGCGCCCACCACCACACTCAGCTAATTTTTTAATTTGTTTTTTATACATTGTAACACTGCAATGTCCTATGATTTGAACAATTTTTTTAATGAAAAACTCTGCATAACTAACATGGTGGTCCAGAGGCTGAAAAGACAAGGTAAATATGAAACTAGACCCTAGCAACCTGAAGTGTGAGGCAGCTAAGTAAAGCTCTGACTGGGAAATCAATCTTTGCTTCACTCACATTCATGGGAGCATTCAGGAACATTACAGGCTGTTTGGCAGTAGCTAGATGCACCCAGTGCACAGATAAGCACCCTTTCATTATCTCTATAATGGTGAAGGATGAATACCAGTAATTGCCTCAGAAGGGCAAAAGCAAGCCTCTTGTACCTGGTGGAGTCCTCATTCTGTGTAAGTCATGGAGCAGCAGCTGCAATGGGGCTGGAGAAAAACTCTAGAAATATAGAATCCTAGAAGAATAATTCATTGTGTCATATTCTTTATAGAACTTGCTCTGCCAGTTTCCATATCCTATGCTTTCATAGAAACTTTACACTTTTTTTTTTTTTTTGAGATGTAGTCTGGCTCTGTCATCCAGGCTGTGGTGCACTGGCACGATCTAGGCTCACAGCAACCTCCACCTCCAGGGGTCAAGCAATTCTATGCCTCAGCCTCCCGAGTAGCTGGAATTACAGGTGCCTGCCACTAGGCCTGGCTAATTTTTTTTGTATTTTTAGTAGAGACAAGGTGTCACCATCTTGGCCAGGCTGGTCTTGAACTCCTGACCACCCGCCTCAGCCTCCCAAAGTGCTGGGATTGCAGGGGTGAGCCACCACGCCCAACCCAGAAACTTTATACTTTTTAACTTTGTCTATTGTCAATCAAATTACAGTTCTATGGAGCTGCCTCTTCAGCGTTCCAGTCACTCATTCATGTGCATTCTCTCTCTCTCCCGTTCTTTCCCTCTGTATCTTCCACTTTCTCTTTCTCTCTCTCTCTCTCTCACACACACACACACACACATTCGTGCACACACACAAATTGCCTTGGTATGTTATGGTGTGAAATCACCTTTGGTAACCAGCCAGGGCAGAGATACCTGCAAAGCCCAGGTGTCCAAGGAGTACATTTCAATTTAATCTCCCTGTACAAGTTATCAAAGATTTTCTTTGAGACTGGAAAGAGATGTACGCTGAAATGCCTAGATAACAAAACTTTTATGAATCATCTACTTACTTTTAAAGATGGTTTCTGCATGTTGCAATGACCCATGCCCCTATGAAAGTATTCTTAGGAGAATATGGAGTTTTCAGTATAATCTGTTACTACCTCATATAGCTACTTCGGGTTTTAATTTGTATCATCTGTTCCTTAGGAATTATTTTTATAACAATAATTATTATGCTTACAAACAGCCTATGATGAATACATTGTCTTGACCTTTTTTTCAGGGGTTTTGGGCCAAAATAACACAATTTTATCATGACATTGATGAATTAAAATGAGAGGATTATGAGGTTTAATGTCTTTCAAGATTTTCACTTAATAAATTTCCGGTGTGGAACTATAAGAATGTATGCCCAAAGAATCAACATCTGAGAACAGAATGTGACAAATATGCTACTATAAAGACACATGTACATGTATGTTTATTGCGGCACTATTCACAATAGCAAAGACTTGGAACCAACCGAAATGTCCATCAATAATAGACTGGATAAAGAAAATGTGGCATATATACACCATGGAATACTATGCAGCCATAAAAAAGGATGAGTTCATGCCCTTTGCAGGGACATGGAAGAAGCTGAAAACCATCATTCTCAGCAATCTAACACAGGAACAGAAAACCAAACACCGCATGTTCTCACTCATAGTTGGGAATTGAACAATGAGAATGCTTGGACACAGGGTGGGGAGCATCACACACCAGGGTCTGTCGGGGAGTGGGGTGCTGGGGGAGGGATAGCATTAGGAGAAATACCTAATGTAAATGACGAGTTGAGTTGATGGGTGCAGCAAACCAACATGGCACATGTATACCTATGCAACAAACCTGCACGTTGTATACATGTACCCTGGAACTTAAAGTATAATACAAATTTTTTAAAAAGAGGTAAGTTTTTATCAGTATAATATTACAAACTTTCTGGATAAAAATGCCCTTTTGACACAGTAACACCTCCTCAGATGAAAATTTCTTCACAGACAGAAAAATAAGTGGTATTTCATTGAAAGCATGTCTGATTCAGAGATCTATGTAAACAGCATTGGAAATGAGATACACACCTACTTTCAAGATGTATTAATTGTGACAAATACAAAGCAGTTGTTTATGGCTTTTTTTAAATTTTTATTTTTATTATTATTATACTTTAAGTTTTAGGGTACATGCACACGACGTGCAGGTTTGTTACATATGTATACATGTGCCATGTTGGTGTGCTGCACCCATTAACTCGTCATTTAGCATTAGGTATATCTCCTAATGCTATCCCTCCCCCCTCCCGCCACCCCACAACAGTCCCCGGAGTGTGATGTTTCCCTTCCTGTGTCCATGTGTTCTCATTGTTCAATTCCCACCTATGAATGAGAACATGCCGTGTTTGGTTTTTTGTCCTTGCGATAGTTTGCTGAGAATGGTTTCCAGTTTCATCCATGTCCCTACAAAGGACATGAACTCATCCTTTTTTATGGCTTCATAGTATTCCATGGTGTATATGTGCCACATTTTCTTAATCCAGTCTATCATTGATGGACATTTGGGTTGGTTCCAAGTCTTTGCTATTGTGAATAGTGTTGCAGTAAACATACCTGTGCATGTGTCTTTATAGCAGCGTGATTTATAATCCTTTGGGTATATACCCAGTAATGGGATGGCTGGGTCAAATGGTATTTCTAGTTCTAGATCCCTGAGGAATCGCCACACTGACTTCCACAATGGTTGAACTTGTTTACAGTCCCACCAACAGTGTAAAAGTGTTCCTATTTCTCCACATCCTCTCCAGCACCTGTTTGTTGTTTCCTGACTTTTTAATGATCGCCATTCTAACTGGTGTGAGATGGTATCTCATTGTGGTTTTGATTTGCGTTTCTCTGATGGCCAGTGATGGTGAGCATTTTTTCATGTGTTTTTTGGCTGCATAAATGTCTTCTTTTGAGAAGTGTCTGTTCATATGCTTTGCCCACTTGTTGATGGGGTTGTTTGTTTTTTTCTTATAAATTTGTTTGAGTTCTTTGTAGATTCTGGATATTAGCCCTTTGTCAGATGAGTAGGTTGTGAAAATTTTCTCCCATTTTGTAGGTTGCCTGTTCACTCTGACGGTAGTTTCTTTTGCCATGCAGAAGCTCTTTAGTTTAATTAGATCCAATTTGTCAATTTTGGCTTTTGTTGCTATTGCTTTTGGTGTTTTAGACATGAAGTCCTTGCCCATTTAACCAGCTAACGGGATAAAGGAAAGCTATTTATGAAATATTTGCAAATAACTTCAAAAGTATTTGTGAAATGCGTCATTTCAAAATACGGCTTATTAGTGAAAATCCTGAAGTTGATGACATTTGGCTTACCAAATGGGGCTGGCAAATGCATTTTAACATGTTGCTGGAAGTATATTTTTTTCTCTGACTTAGCTGATCTTTTTGAGTTAATTCATGACTTAATTATAAAACATAAATAAGACCATCTTTGCAGTTAAATCATTTTATAAACTATGTGTGCATGAACAAAATTCCACAAACCTTACTGCCATAATTTCTATCCTTCCATCCATTCACTCACCTCTTATGTAACTTTGAGTATTTTGGTGCCTGGATAAATAATTTTCAGCCATTCAATCATTAACTTGGAGGATGGATACAATGGAAAGGTTGTCAAGAGAAAAAATGAAAAGGTAAGCAAAAACAAAATTTGTAAGATATTCTAAGTTGTTTAGACTTTATTTTGAGGGCAGCAGGGAGCTAATGACAGACATTAAGCAAGAGTGATACTATCAGATCGTATTGATCAAAAAATCACCCTGGCTGCAGTGTGAGCCTTCGGAGGGAGCAAGAGTAGAATGACAGAACAGACAGGTGACTACACATCTGCTGTAATATGATGCTAGCCAGAACAAATATGGCTGTGACAATAAAAAGGATTTGACAGAACTGGAAAGTAGAACCCAGAGGACTTTATAGTTAATTTAATGTGTGGGATGACTTATAAGAGTCCAAGATGGAGTTAAAGTGAATAAGGTTAAATGGGAGGAGAGGCACTTCCTCCACTGCAGCAGCAAGGAAGTAGGAAAAATTACTATGGAGGCAGTTATTTTGTAGCTTTGGTACAAGAATGTGAGGAAACTTATTATTTCGTTATATTTGGATAATAGAGATGAGGTCTTCTCTGAGAGGAGACAAGTGGAAGAGGGGTTGGAGTTTTAGAATAGAAAATTAGAAAGGTTCAACTGACAGAAAACTACAAAAGATTTTTGGCTAGCTCAACAGAAGTTAAGGACAAAGCTGAAACACTCGATTCAAATAGAATAATTTATAGAGATTTAAAGAAAAACAGGGCAATTTGTTACAGCCGTTCATGAGCAGCATTATCTCCAATAGCTAAAGCATGGAAGCAACCCAATTGTCCATCAACAAATAAATGGATAAGTAAAATCTAGTACACACATAAAATGGAATATTATTTAGCCTGAAGGAGGATGGAAATTCTGACATTTGCTACAACACGGATAAACTTTGAGGAAATTAAACCAATCACAAACAATGAAATAAACCAATCATAAAACCCTGATCACAAAAAGATCAATACTATATGTTTTCACTTATATGAGGTACTTAGAACAGTCAAAATCATAGAGACAGAAAGTAAAATAGTGGTTGCCAGGAGCTGGGAGGAGAGAGGACTAGGCAGTTATTGTTTAATGGGCATAGAGTTTCAATTTTGCAAGATGGAAAGAGTTCTGGAGATGGAAGATAGTGACGGTTGCACAACAATATGAATGTATTTAATATCACTGAATTTAGCCACTTCAAAAAGGGTAAGATGGTAAATTTTACATCATGTGCGTTTTACCACAATAAAAAAATTGTAAGACACACATATACACACACAATAAGTAGGGCAATGATGTGTAACTTGAATGCAAAGAAAAAAGGAAGCAAGGGAGAGCATATTAACACCAGTGAAGTAGAATTACATGAAAAATTGAAACATGGGAAAGAGGGCTCTTTTACGTTTTCAGATAAAAGTTACCATTCATAATCTCAAAACATAAAACACTTTGGTATGTTTCCCCAAGATGCAACTAGGAATAGTTTTCACACAATCACTCAAGCCAGCAACATCACTAGCATCTACTAATTTTATATTATTCCTGTTAATGTATACATGTTGACTCTAGGGAGAGAGGTTGTGTTTCATAAATTTTGAAGTGTGTACATAATCATATCTTAAAAGTTTTTTTTAATTATTAGACTTTAAGTTTTAGGGTACATGTGCACAATGTACAGGTTAGTTACATATGTATACATGTGCCATGCTGGTGTGCTGCACCCATTAACTCGTCATTTAGCATTAGGTATATCTCCTAAAGCTATCCCTCCCCCCTCCCCCCACCCCACAACAGTCCCCAGAATGTGATGTTCCCCTTCCTGTGTCTATGTGTGCTCATTGTTCAATTCCCACCTATGAGTGAGAATATATGGTGTTTGGTTTTTTGTTCTTGCGATAGTTTACTGAGAATGATGATTTCCAGTTTCATCCATGTCCCTACAAAGGACATGAACTCAGCATTTTTTATGGCTTCATAGTATTCCATGGTGTATATGTGCCACATTTTCTTAATCCAGTCTATCATTGTTGGACATTTGGGTTGGTTCCAAGTCTTTGCTATTGTGAATAGTGCCGCAATAAACATACAGCAACTTCAGCAAAGTCTCAGGATACAAAATCAATGTACAAAAATCACAAGCATTCTTATACACCAATAACAAACAGAGAGCCAAATCATGAGTGAACTCCCATTCACAATTGCTTCAAAGAAAATAAAATACCTAGGAATCCAACTTACAAGGGACGTGAAGGACCTCTTCAAGGAGAACTACAAACCACTGCTCAATGAAATAAAAGAGGATACAAACAAAAGTTTTAACAAGTATAAATTGTCAACTTGTATGTGAGAACTGTGAGACACCATAGAAGAAATGTTAACAAAATATAGGAGTTCAGAGCAATTTGTAAGAAACTGTGATACAAGGGTGAAGCTCTACCATAATGAATATGCACTGAGAGTATTGAAAACAATAATTTGGGGAAGTAAAAGTAGCAGGTAATATTACTTAATCACATACTACGGACAAGACTAAGATTTTATGTGATTAACCCACTGAATCTTTATAAAATTAATATGAGGAGCTACTGTAGTTATCACTAATGAACACATGAGGTAAATGAAGTGCACACCAGTTAGGTAATTCACCGAGGAAACTTTACCGCAAAAATGTAGACAAGCTAAAATTTGAACACAGTCTATCTGCCTTTAGAGCTAGGGCCCTAAACTTCTATGTGGTACTGGATTCACTCACAGTGGAATGTCATAGACTAATTAAATATCACTGCAGAATTTGAATAATTAACATGTGAGGATTAATGTGTTGGAAAGCAGAGAATAAGAAAGCAGGATATATCCTGTGTGTCCTGCAAAGAACATGAAGTTCTTTCTAACTAAACACATACTACTGACCTCATTTGATACAAATATGCCTTTTATATATATTCAAACAAGAAAAATTTACAGTATGTTTACTTTTTTAATTTCCATTGAGAAACCAAAGGGACAGAGTTAACAGAATTCACTTGTACCTTTCCATGACGTGGAAAGGTAAAACTACATGTTTCATGTAAAGCTACATGTTGCTTTTTAAAAACATTTGATCCTTGGGCTTGTCTAGTGTTTCATCTAAGTAAAATAAATTTTTAATTGAATTGACAAAATAAATACATAATTATAGAAAGTATAGCGTTATTTTTTAAAACTATGATTTTTTTCATAGAATACACAAGATAGTGTCTGTTACACCAGGCATACCTAGTGTACGTATAAATATTATAGATGTTAATACAGCACAAAGGGAAACATTAAAATATAATACTGAGATACTCATAAAAGTAAATACTGATAAAAGATTAGTGGTTTGGGAATTTATATTTCTCAGTATATAACAAGTGAGTATATAAGCACTAAATAAGTATTAAGGACTTTGAAAACTATAATTATACATGTGGTTAATAGATGCATTATAAATGACACTATCAGAGTAAATCAGTTCTTTTCAAATGACTATGAAACCTTATAAATATTGAGCATTAGCAAGAGCCCTTGGGTGACAATGACAGAAACCTAATCCAAACTAAGGATAAAAAGGGACAAAACTGTTGTACTAGGAAAGAGATGAAGCTACAGTTAAAAGAAACTCAGGATAAGAGTTGGAGGGTGAATCCTGGTCACATCTGAATACTTTGGTCTGCATCTGGGGCATTTTTGCGTCTGCTCTTCCCAGATTTCAATCCACAACAACCGCTTTGGCCTAGTGAGACGGCCCAGTGTTATTCCTATAAACTTCTCCATATGCCTGTGTTTGGTTTAGGGTTTTGTCCAAAGCAATCTAAGAGCTGCAAAATAATGCTGTTACAAACCAAAGCCCTTTACACTGTACCTTACCAACAAGATGAAACCAAGGGGAGCATGAAGGAATCAGCAGCCTGGTCTCTTTTCTCAGCTTTTGGTTTCAGAAGCAGTCCCAGAAGAGATTAGTAGCATCATGTCAAGCAGAAAACAATAGCAAAAATAATGTCAAAGTCCAGAAGAGATAAGCCTGTCTGTTACAAGTAACACAAACACGGAAGCTGAGCCAGAGTCCAGGAAAAGTACTCGTATGCCAAATACGATTGAGTTCATCAAACAGACTTAATGCGTGATTCCAGAAAAACTAACTTGACATTTTCAGGGCCAGTGTAATATAATTTTGTTTTTAGAACATTGTTATTCTTTTAGCAATGTTTCTTACAAAAAGCATATGTGCTCATTCTAAAATTTTGAGATTACATTTAAAAAGTAACAAAAATTACTGGCAATTACTAAACTCTGGCTTCAAGGTTTTGTGCTTATTCCCCAGTATTTATACAGACACACTTTGAGTGTGTGTGTGTGTGTGTGTGTGTGTCTTCTTGTCTATTTATGCCTGTTTTTAATGTAAAAATAAGAAAAGGGTGAAGGACTGGCATAAAACCTAGTTGTACACATATATTATGAAATTGTTTTTGATCATTAAATACCTGCTACTGGATTTTTGTGACAGTTGCCTAGAATTTCATTGAACAAATGTACTATCATTTATTTAATTATTCCCTTTTTGTTGAGTGGGGTTTTTCTTTTCATTCTGAGCAGTTCTGCAATGAGTACTAATTAAATTAAACCACCGTAATCACCCATGAGTATTACCCCAGGAAATTCCCAGAGATTAAACCTTAGGTCAAATATTATGAAAAAAAATGTTAAAGCTTTTGAATGCCTAAAGATTTTACTAATATTTGCTGCCACAATAATTACTTCTCTGGAATGCCATTATTTCTTTACCAATTTTTAATACAGGAAGCTATCTTTTAAAAATATTTCCATTTTAGAAAGGTTAAAAAGTATATTAAAATATTCAAGAATTCATATATATTCAAATATATTCAATGTTCAAATATATACTGCCTTTGAATAATTTGAATATGCTCTTTGAAGTTTGGATTTTTAAAAATAAATTACTTATTTATTTTCTTTACCCTAATAGGTTCTAGCCACTGGAAATAAATGTCTCCATCCTCATGGAGTCTACATTAGAGCAAAAAATAACAAATAATCAAATATGTAAACAGACTTTGTCAATGATAACCTCTATGGTAGATGAATAAGTTGATATGATAACAGCCTACTTTAAATAGGATGGTCAGGAAACACTTTACTTGTAGGAACTTGTTATATATTTAAGAAAGTATTCATTTGTTTATCTTACATACAGCACATATTTTTCTGAAGTTGTTTCAGATATAGGGGAGGAGCTAGGACCCAAGGCCCTGCCTGGAAATATCATTCATCTCCTCATGTGAGGAAAGAAACAATTCGTTAGGAGGTAATTGGTTAGGAGGTGGGGTGTTTGTGTAAAGAGACTAAACTTTTCCAGAGGTGTTTTGGCTGAGGCTTGAAAAGAGAAGGAATGTTTTAGAGTGGGGAATGGTAAAGGAAAAGGGAGAGGCAAAACTATAAAAACTACGGTTTTTATAGTTTTGGGTTTTACATTTAAGTCTTTAATCCATCTTCAGTTAATTTTTGTAAAAGGTGTAAGGAAGGGATCCAGTTTCAGTTTTCTGCATATTGCTAGCCAGTTCTCCCAGCACCACTTATTTATTTATTTATTCATCTATTTTTTCAGATATTTTTATGCCTTCCCTTTTTTATTATACTTTAAGTTCTGGAATACATGTACAGAACGTGCAGGTTTGTTACATAGGTATACACGTGCCATGGTGGTTTGGTGCACCCAGTAATCCATCACCTACATTAGGTATTTCTCCTAATGCTATCCCTCCCCTACCCCCCTATCCCCCAACAGGCCCCTGTGTGTGATGTTCCCCTCCCTGTGTCCATGTGTTCTCATTGTTCAACTCCCACTTGAGTGAGAACATGTGGTGTTTGGTTTTCTGTTCTTGTGTGAATTTTCCCAGCACCATTTATTAAACAGTGAATCCTTTCCTCATTGCTTGTTTTTGTCAGGTTTGTTGAAATCAGATGATTATACATGTGCAGTTTAATTTCTGTGTTCTCTATTCTTTTCCATTTGTCTATGTGCCTGTTTTTCGTACCAGTACCATGGTGTTTTGGTTATTGTAGCCTTGTAGTATAGTTTGAAGTCAGATAGTGTGATGCCTTCAGCTTTGTTCTTTTAGCTTAGGATTGTCTTGGCTATGTGAGCTATTTTTTGTTCCATATGAATTTTAGAATAGTTTTTTTTTTCTAATTCTGTGAAGAATGTCAATGGTAGTTTAATGAGAATAGCATTGAATCTATAAACAGCTATGGGGAGTGTGACCATTTTTATGATACTGATTCTTCCTATCCATAAGAATGGAATGTTTTTCCATTTGGTTGTGTCCTCTCTGATTTCCTTCAGTGGTGGTTTGTAGTTCTCTTGAAGAGGTTCTTCACTTCCCTTATTACCTGCATTCCTAGGTATTTTATTCTCTTTGTGGCATTTTTGAATGGGAGTTCATTCATGATTTGGCTCTCTGCTTGTCTGTTGTTGGTGTATAGGAATGTTTGTGATTTCTGCATATCTTTTTTTTGGGGGGGGTTGGCTTTGCTTAAGTGGCTTATCAGCTT
Organism: Homo sapiens; assembly: GCF_000001405.40. Classification (NCBI taxonomy): domain Eukaryota; kingdom Metazoa; phylum Chordata; class Mammalia; order Primates; family Hominidae; genus Homo; species Homo sapiens. Next base: position 32,007,421 of record NC_000009.12, read on the forward strand.
CAGAAGCTTTTGGGTTGAGTCAGTGGGGTTTTCTAGACATAGGATCATGTCATCTGCAAACAAAGACAATTTGACTTCCTCTCTTCCCATTTAAATGCCCTCTATTTCTTTTTCTTTCCTGATTGCCCTGGCCAGAACTTCCAACACTATGTTGAATAAGAGTGATGAGAGAGAGGGTGTCTTTGTCTTGTGCCAGTTTTCAAGGGGAATGCTTCCAGTTCTTGCCCATTCAGTATGATATTGGCTGTGGGTTTGTTATAAATGGCTCTTATTGAGGTATGTTCTTCAATATCTAGTTTATTGAGAGTTTTTAACATGAAAGGATGTTGAATTTTATTGAAGGCCTTTTCTTCATCTATTGAAATAACCATGTTGTTTTTGTCTTTAGTTCTGTTTATGTGATGAATTACATTTATTGATTTGTATATGTTGAACTAGCCTTCCATCCCAAGGATGAAGCCGACTTGATCGTGGTGGATAAGCTTTTCGATGTGCTGCTGGATTCAGTTTGCCAGTATTTTTTTTTTGAGGATATTCACATCAAAGTTCATCAGGGCTATTGGCCTGAAGTTTCCTTTTTTTGTCATATATCTGCCAGGCTTTGGTATTAGGATGATGCTGGCCTCACAAAATGATTTAGGAAAGTGTCCCTCCTCTTCAGCTGTTTGGAATAGTTTCAGAATTAATGATACCAGCTACTCTTTGCACCTCTGGTAGAATTCGGCTGTGAATCCATATGAACCTGGGCTTTTTTAGCTGGTAGGCTATTTATTACGGCTTCAATTTCAGAACTTGTTATTGGTCTAATCAGGGATTCAACTTCTTCCTGGTTCAGTCTTGGGAGGGTGTATGTGTCCAGGAATTTATCCATTTCTTCTAGATTTTCCAATTTATTTGCAGAGAGCTGTTTATAGTATTCTCTGATAATAGTTTGTATTTCTGTGGGGTCAGTGGTCGTATCCCCCTATTTCTGAGGGTGTTTATTTGAATCTTCTCTCTTTTCTTCTTTAGTAGTCTCACTAGCAGTCTATCTATCTTATTGAGTTTTTCAAAAAAAAAAAAAGCAGCTCCTGGATTCTTCGATTTTTTGAAGGGTTTTTCACTTGGTGTTTTTTGACAGGGTTTGAGGGGCAGGAACTAGGGCAGAACAAACTTTTGGGAGCCCAGGTGTTGGGAAAAGACTCAGAGAAGGGGCAGGCACTGCCTTGGGTGGCCTCTGAGGTAAAGCCCAGGGCATCCACTCAAGCCCTGTGAGTGGGAACTGGCATCAGCAGCCGGACCACCACTGACTCAAACTGAGAGGGAAGACAAAGTCCTTCAGAAAGGAGGCCAGGAGAAATCTCACCAGCTCCAGCATGGCCTCCTTACATGGATTCCTTGGCACGCTATGCTTTCCATGCTTGTCCTAATTCATCTTTTGAGACCCCAGTTTACTCTGATGCCAGGCATCACATGGAGATTTTCCTAGAGTGACCAGGGCTGCAGGATGGGATGGTCCTTGCACACCACATGTCCCTGGTCAGCGGCTCAGGTCAGGCAGACCCTGGGTGGAAATGGTGCACTCTAGCTTCCAAAAGAAAATAAATGCAAGCAAGCCAGTCAGCTCTGGTGTTTGTGGGTATTTTCATCTCAGCCGCAGTCCTCCTTTTTCCTTGGGAGATTCTGAAAAGGGCAGATGTGTAGGAAGGCACAGAATGGGGATGTTTGGTTCTGTACTTAAATTTCTGAGCCTCAGTCCACAAAAATTTCAGCAATATTTGTACTTAGGGCTACATGAATTCTATCTCTGTGGGCTTCCCCTCCCCATTCCCAGATTTACTATAAATGCTCCTTAAAACGTATCTAAGCTGTTATTTTATGATAGCTTTCCTTAATTTGTTTATAGCTATTGCGCATTTTCAATGTTTGGACTAACATTATGTTCAAATATCTAGATATTTTCTCTTTGCCATATGTTTCAAATAAAGAAATGTTTATACCTCTTTGGAGAAAAAAACGGGAAAATGAGGGAGAAAATAAATTATAGAATGAGTATGTTAAGCTAAATCCTCATTTTTTATAACAAGAATTTAATAGACTATATTAAAAAATAATAAATCAATAAATAGTAATATTACATTATTTAATAAAAGGAGACAACTAAAATTAATAACTGAGCCCATTAAAAGATAATTCAAAAGAGATTAGAATTGGAGAAGATCTATGTGTAGGATCATTCTATTTATTTTTACTATAACCCTTTAAAATATTTTTATTATATGTTTATTTTGCTGTGATAAAAATAAAAATAAACACCAAAAACTAAAAATGAGAACAAAAAGGTAAACTAACAAATATCTGAGGACTATCATAGCTCAACTATCAAACTTTTGTTTGCTAAGAACTAAGAGAAATTAAACAATTTTGTCTAATAAGAGTATTGCCATGTATTACATATTAAGAAATTAAAAGTATGAGCTTAAGAGTGAATTTTAGCATCAGTAACTTCAGGGTTTCATGTTCCAAAAAGCCTGTATGACAGTTTTTTAGTTTTTTCTCTAGCTCATGAACTGATTTGCATCAGAGTTAAAACAAGAAGATAAATAGTGCTGGAGCTGGGAAGCATTGATTGTTAGAAACTGCCAAGAAGAACACAATTGCTAATGTAAATGACAAATATTAGAGGAAGAATACACTTTACAAATGACCATTAAAAATGACACAAAGAAATGATTGCTGTTTGGAAAAAAAAAAAACATTTAGTGTGTTTGGTAATTATGCTTGACTTTTTTTCTACCAACATATAAACAATGGTTTAAAAATGAGATTCTAATCTGCTTATGGTACTTGATATCACTATCTTTGTATTGTTGATGGCAGCACGGCCCATTTGGAGCCGTCACTGCCATCATGCTGGTGGAAGCAGGGAGATGCCACCTGGGCTGCACACTCCACAGAGCTGGGAGGAGCCAGGGACAAGCGGGAGCCCCATCCCTTCCAAGCTGGTGGGGCAAGAGCTCCCCAGGTGCAACAGCAGCTGCCCAAGTCGTGGCTGCAAACCCGGACCTCTCACTGCACAGGGCAGCAGGAGCCCCACCCCACCTGTCTCAGCTGCAGCCACCCAAGTTACCACAGTGGACCTGGGCCTCCCTGTTCTCTTGGGAGTGCCGAGAGCAGGCAGAAGCCCCGCCCTCCTGGGCACAGCTGCAGCCTCCCAAGTCGCTGCTGCAGACCCAGGCCTCCCACTCCATAGAGCAGGAAGGAGCCCTGCACCCCCACACGGCTGCAGCCACCCAAACCGCAGCTGGAGACCCAGGCATCCCTGCACTCTTGGGGGCCCAAGAAGCTGCTCCCTGCCTTCACAGGCTCAGAAGTGCCTGCTCCCTCTGCCTGGCTTCTCCCTGTTACTGGCACCCGCTCTGGTATCAGAGCAAAGTCAGGTGGAGCCCAGGTGCTGTCACAGCCTGGCCAGTTGTGCACATCCTCAGGGCAGTGCTGACACACCAGCCCCCTGTCTCTCAGCCTCCTCCAGACTTTGGGTGCCTACGAGCAAAGGAAGGAGGGCAATGGGTAGCTGAGGGAAGCTCCACGCCAGCCTTCAGGCACCCCTTGTCACCTACAGCCTGGAAACCATAAACAGCATCAGGAGGTAGGCTCCTACAGGTTCCTGGGCAGAAGGGGGCAGGTCCCTGGTAAGGCCCACCTTCAGACCAGGGAGGGCCAGCTGGCTGCCAGTCCCACAGACTGGGGTGGGAATTTGTTGTGCCTTTTCTGGGCCTGCCCATGGCCACCTATGGACCAATCAGCATGCACTTCCTCCCCTGTCAGGCCCATAAAAGCCCTGGGTTCAGCAGTGCTGAGCCAGCATTGGCTCAACCAGCTGTGGAGAGGAGTTACCCACACCAGGGCTTCACCTCTGCTGAGAGCAGCAGATGTCGGGATGACCAGCTGCAGACAGGAGCTGTTTTAGAAGCTGAGAGTAGAACAGCAGTAACAGTGTCCGGGTTGTGAGGAAAACAGGAAAATGAAGGTCAAAGGGTACAAACATCCAGATAGAAGATGAAGAAGTTCTGGAGATCTAGTGTACAGCATGGGTAGTGGTGAATGTGTTACTTCATTTGACTGTGGTAATCATTACACAGTGTGTATGTGTATCAAATCATGTTGTATACCTTGAATATATACAATCTTTGTCAGTTAAATATTTTTGTAAAAAAAATCTGTGGGCTACACATCTATCTACTTGAGAAACAATAAAAATAAAATTTTTGTTTATTTTTTAAAATTTATTTTTATTTTTTGAGACAGGGTCCCACTCTGTTGCACAGGCTAGTGCACAGTGGCACAATCACAGCTCACTGCAGCCTCGAACTCCCAGGCTCAAGCAATCCTCTCACCTCAGTCTCCTTGGTAGCTAAGACTACAGGTGGGCACCACCATGCCTGGCTAAGTTTTTTATTTTTTGTAGAGACAGGGTCCCACTATGTTGCCCAGACTGGTCTTGAACTCCTAGTTTCAAGTGATCCTCCCACCTTGGCTCCCGAAATGCTTCGATTATGGGCATGAGCCACCACACCTAGCCAAAATTGTTTGTTATGAAAGAAAAAAGAACATAAGTATTATATTAGAAATGCCATGGTGGTGACAATATGTACGATCAATTTCCTGATATATTTTAAATAATTTTTTCATGTGAATAAAATCAATGTTACATTATAGAAAATCTGGAAAATAAAAAAGAACACAGATGCTCTTTGACTTATGATGGGTTTATGTCCTGATAAACTCATTGTAAGTTGAAAATACCAGTAGGTCATAAATGTATTTAATACACCTAACCTACCAAACATCATAACTTATTCTTGTCTGTCTGAAACACGCTCAGAATACTCACATTAGCCAACAGATGGGCAAAATCATCTAACACAGAGCTTGTTTTGTAAAACATTTTATAATTAAAAAAATTCAAAATTTGAAGCATAGTTTTTGCTGAATTCTTGTCACTTTTGCACCATCATGAAGTTGAAAAAGTCTAAGTAAAAGCATCATAAGTTGGGACTACCAGTATAAATTACCTAATTGCCTGATATCTCACACACAGCAATAAATGTTCTAAACATCTTACCCATTTTATGCATATGTGTAATATTTAAACAGTGTGGGCATCGTTCTATACCAGCATTTTTTCTCTAAGCAGTTTGTGTCATGTCACAATCATGAGAGGATTCCTCCACAACATTGAATTGTAAAGCATAGTTCACAGTGTGGATATGCCATAACTTAGCAAATGTCCTTCTTTTATAGTAGCTTTGAAAGTTTTACATTTATTTTGCTGTTGAAAATTTCACTTGAGTGATCATTCTTGCTTGTCAATCTTTGTGCTTGTCTGTTATTATTTTCTAAGTTAAAAGGTTAAATTACTCATTCAAAAGATGAGACACTTTCATAATAACTGCCAAATAACACTCTGGAAAGTTGTATCCATTAACAGTTTTATATGCAGTGTGTGGCAACATTTATTTTATAACAACCATGTAAAAATTGGTATTTTTCTTTGTAGTCTTTACTAATTTTAAAAGTGAAAATGCTATCTTAATTTACCTTTATTTAATTACTTATGAGGTTGGGCATTTGTTTATATGTTTCTCAGCCATTGATGTTTCATTTTTGGCCTTTTACTTTTCATTTTTTAATTAATTTTATTTCTATGGTTTGATATAGTTTTTAAAAAAATTATTCAACTATTTCCTACATATTTGTGAGGTAGGTAGGAGAAAATGAGTACTGTATTTTTAACTTTGCTAGATAAGATAATGCCTGATTGTTTTTTTTTCCAAATAGTTTCACATTCTCACCCAAATATCATGTTGTCAAACTTTTAAATTTTGTTAATTTGGTGGGTATAATGCTTTCTTATTAATTTTGACTTGCATTTTTTCAATTGCAACTGAGGTTGACAACTTTTTGATATATTTATTATCTAATTGGATTTTGTAAATCTCTTTCATCATTTCTCTGTTCAATTGGCTTTTTCCCATGTATTCATTTGTTGCTGGTATATAGAAATACAAATTGATTTTGTGTACTTGGTATTTAGTTACTTTGTCTCTTATCAAATCAAATAATGTATCTAATATTACTTTGAATTTTCTATACACATAATGACAATTTTAAACCTCTCTCCTAATTTTTAAATATCTAATGTATTTGTTTGTTCAATTATTTATTCCTTCTTTCCTTGGCCTCACAAGTCTGGTAAACTGGACCTCCAGTTCAATCATGACAAGCGTTATTAGTAGGCACCCTTGAATATTTTCCATTTTTAAGAGAAAGTTTTCATTATTTCAATATTAATAATGATTTTTCTCTACATTTCTTTGTACTATACCCTGAGTACACTTTTTCACATTTAACTTTTAGTTCACTAATTTCTCTTCCACTTTGTCTACTCTGATTCTTAGCTTTCACTTTTTTTCTCATTTTTTTATAATTTCAAATTTTATTTTAGATTCAGGGGGTGCATGTGCAGGTTTGTTACATGGGTATATTGCTTGACGCGGAGGTTGGGGGTGTGATTGATCCTAGTCACCCAGATACTGAGCGTAATATTCAGTAGCTACTTTTCCAAGCTTTCTCCTTCTCCTTTCCTCCTCCTTTAGCCCCCAGTGTCTATTGTTGCTATCTTTATGTCTATGAGTACCCACTGTTTAGCTCCCACTTATAAATGAGAACACACAGTATTTGCTTTTCTGTTCCTGTGTTAATTCACTTAGATAGTGGCCTCCATCTGCATTCTTGTTGCTGCAAAGGGCATGATGTCATTCTTTTTTATAGCCATATTCCGTGGTATGTATGCACCACATTTTCTTTATCCAATTCACTATTGAAAGGCACCTAGGATGATTCCATGTTTTTGCTATTGTGAATAGTATTGTGATTAACATATGAGAGCATGTGTCTCATTTTTTTTTTTTTTCTTTGGGAGACGGAGTCTGGCTCTGTTGCCCAGGCTGGAGTGCAGTGCCACGATCTCGGCTCACTGCAAGCTCCGCCTCCCAGGTTCACGCCATTCTCCTGCCTCAGCCTCCCGAGTAGCTGGGACTACAGGCACCCGCCACCATGCCTGGTTAATTTTTTGTATTTTTAGTAGAGACGAGGTTTCACCATGTTAGCCAGGATGGTCTCGATCTCCTGACCTCGTGATCTGCCAACCTCGGCCTCCCAAAGTGCTGGGATTACAGGCGTGAGCCACCGCACCCGGCCATTTTATTTTTTTTATATATACCCAGTAATAGCACTGCTGAGTCAAATAGTAGTTCTATTTTAAGTTGTTTGAGAAACCTACAAACTGCTTTCCACAGTGGCTGGACTAATTCACATTCCCACCAATGGTGTATAAGTGTTCCTTTCTCTCAGCAGCCTCACTAGCGTTTGTTGTTTTTTGACCTTTTAATAATAGCCATCCTGACTGGTGGAAGATGGTATCTCACTGTCATTTTGATTTGCATTTCTCCGATGACTAATAATGATGATCATTTTTTCATATGTTTGTTGGCCACTTTTATGTCTTCTTTTGAGAAGTGTCTGTTCATGGTTTTTGCCCATTTTTCAATGTGGTTATTATTATTATTATTATTATTATTATTATTATTATTATTTTTGCTTGTTCAGTTGTTTAAGTTTCTTATAGATTCTGGATATTAGACTTTTGTCAGATGCAGAGTTTGCAAATATTTTCTCGTGTTCTGTAGTTTGTCTGCTTACTCTATTGATAGTTTATTTTGCTGTGCAGAACCTCTTTAGTTTAATTGGGTCCCACTTGTCAATTTTTGTTTTTGTTGCAATTTTGAGAACTTAGTCATAAATTATTTCCCAAGGCCAATGTCCAGAATGGTATTTCCTAGGTTTTCTTCGAGAATTTTTTTATGGATTGAAATCTTATACTTAAATCTTTAATTCATATTGAGTTAATCTTTGTATATGGTGAAAGGTAGGGGTCCAGTTTCATTCTTCTGCATATGACTAGCTAGCTACCTAGCATCATTTATTGACTAAGGAGTCCTTCCCCATTGCTTAGTCTTGTCAACTTTGTAAAAGATCAGATGGTTGTAGGTATGCAGCTTTATTTCTGGGTTCTCTATTCAGTTGCATTGGTCTGTGTGTCTGTTTTTCTACCAGGACCATACTGTGTTGGCTACTGTGGCCTTATAGTATTGTTTGAAATTCAGTAATGTGATGCTCCAACTTTGTTCTTTTTGCCTATGATTGCTCTGGCTATTTGGGCTCTTTTTTGGTTCCACATGAATTTTAGCATAGTTTTTACAAGTTCTATGAAAAATGGTATAGGTTGTTTTGTTATGGGATCGTTGGGGTGTCATTTTTCTGGCCAGAAACATCTGTGGCTGGTGGTACCTTTGCTTGAGTTCTGTTTGGGCCCTCTGGGCTCGTTTCACTCACTCAGCCTGGCAGACTGTGCTCAGCTGCCACTACCGGCCTGAGTACTATGCCTGCCAAGGGTGAGTAAGGCGCGGAATGTCAAGGGTGTGTGGGTGAGCATGGGGTCCAGCCGCTGCAAACAGTCAGTCATGCCAGCTGCTGCAGCAGGGTAGGAAGCTCCAGGTGCTAGCACAGGTGCTGGCACTTTGTGAGGATGTGGCTGGACCAAGCACACTGCAAGCACCTTCCATGGCTGACACCAGGGAACATGGTGGCATCTAGAAGCTTGGAGACTCCAGGAACTCAAAGAGGGAGTCACAGCCCTGGCTCAGGGAGCTCCCAGGTCTAGAGTCACTTAAGGGCTTTAGCTCTCTTCTTTCCTTCTCCTCACCCCCAACATGGCAAGCAAGGGGCATATCTCAGCCCTGTTTGTGTTACAGCTCTTTTAGCCTCATTTGGCAAGTCTTGAGTTATTATCCTGTGCCTGGGAAGAATGAGGTATGCAGACAAGCAGAAGGTGAGCAAGACGAAGAGGAGCTTTATTGAGCGATAGAACAGCTCAGAGGAAGCCCACAAGGGGCAGCTCCTTTCCACAGCCAAGGTGTCCCAACTAGTGTTCAGCTGCTAGCAGAGTGCGTAGCTCTGAGAAAGCAATGGGGGGGCACTTCCCAGGCCCCTGAGAGTGCAGGGATGCCTGGGTTTGCATGCCTGCTCTGTGGAGTGGGAGGCCCACATCTGCAGCCATGGTTTAGGTGGCTGCAGCTGCACCTGGGAGGGCGGGGCTCCTGCCTCCTCCCAGCTCCAGCTGGCTCCATGAAGTGTGCAGCCCAGCATGGTGGCAGTAGCTGCTCCAGATGGCCCACAACTGCCATCAGTTTCATAGGAATAGCACTGAGTTTGTCAATGGCTTTGGGCAGCATGGCTATTTTAGCAATATTGATTCTTCCAATCCATGAGTGTGGAATGTTTCTCCATTTGTTTCAGTAGTGTCTTGTCCCCTTTGTAGAGCTCTTTCACCTCTTTGTTTGTATGTTTCGTAATTTGATTTTTTTATGACTATTGTTTTTCCAAATGTTTTTCCATTTGTTCATGTGATCCATGGTTTCTTTCAGCAATGTTGTGTAGTTCTCTTTGTAAAGAACTTTCACGTCCTTGGTTGGATTCCTAAGTATTTATTTTTTGTGTGTGGCTATTGTGAATGAGATTGCATTCTTGATTTGGCTCTCAGCTTGAATGTTATTGGTGTACAGATCTTACGACTTAGTCTCTGTGGGTAAATATTTATTTTTTCTAATGATTCTTAGTCATGGTGAATTATTTTCTTATTTATTTTGAGATGTTTGATTGTGAACTCGTTTTCCTCTGGAAGACATAACTTTGGAAATTTTTTGAAGCCTACATTTAAGAATTCCTACAGAGAAAACATGCATCTGTTTTTATGAGATGCCTTCTGGAACTACCAGTTGGCTTTAAATTTAAACTACCTTTTCAGGCTTTCTTCTTCAGAGTTTATTTGAACCATCATAATTGCGTACATTTTGTTCCCGCTCATGTGACAGCTGACCTGTCATTATGAAGAATCGGGAGTGTCTTTCTACTTTCTCCAGAAACAAAGCTGCAAGTTGATTTGTATGATTCTCATTATAGGATTTTTTTCCCCTGGAGTTTCACCTCTCCAGGAGCCCTGGCTTTATATGTTTGTTATCATTATTACAATAATCATACATGACTACTAAAGTTCTAATGAATCAAAACAAGGGTTGCCTTTCAGCAAAGTACATTTTTCACATTTTCCTCCAGTTGTTAAATAAAACTGTTCACATGCTATCTCCTAAGCAACACATTTCCCTATAAAAGCCAATATTTTCAAATTTAAATATTTTTAGAATTTTAAAATTTAGAATACTACAAGATCTGGAACTTTAAGATCTGGAAAAGCTCTATAACAAGGAATAATAATAACACAGGGATAACAATATCGTTGCATGGTGATGAATATTTTAAGCTAATGCATTCTAGATGCTGTATCCTATATATACATTTTATTCTTTTATTCTCTAATTCTCCGAGCAGAACAGAATCATTAATGAAAGTATGAATCATTCTACAATGAGAATTAAAATAATCTTCCTGTACTAAAAGGCACTTAAGATCCAATTGATGATATTAATTAATATTACTAAAATTGTATAATAATTGTAATTATTATACTTAGAAAACTTAGAAACATAGAAATTTGTATTCTTTCATATTAGCCATGTTATCAGATCGCATAAGCTTCTCTAGTGATCTTATCTTCAATTTCCTGAACTACATGATATAGTCTATTGCTCTTTGGAAATGCCTCAATATTTCCAAAATTTATCTAATACCTTAAAAAGGAACACCAACAGATGAACTTAGTTTTCAGCATTAAAAGCAAGATAAATATTTATAATACAATGAAAAACAGTCTTACGTAAAATTGCACTAATGCTTGTCATCCATTATCAACTGACATGGTAAACATATGGACCTGCAATGTGTGTGTGTGTGTGTGTGTGTGTACAATGCACATATACATATACACATGGTCATGCACTTCATAAAAATGTTTCAGTCAACAACAGACCACATATAAAATAGCGGTCCCATAAGATTATAATGTGGCTGGAAAATCCCTATCATCTAGTAACTTCACGACATCATAGCATAATGCAGTACCCACATGTAGCACAGTGCATCACCTACATGTTTGTAGAGATGCTGATGTAATCAAACATATACACTTCCAGTAATATAAAAATAGATCATACAATTATATATCATATAAATACTTAATAGTGATAATAAATGACTATGTTACTGGTTCATGTATTTACTATAATTCTTATCATTATATTAGAGTGTACTTCTATTTATAAAAAAGAAAAATGTAACTAAAACAGCCTCAGGCTGGTCTTCATTAGGTATTCTAGAAGAGGGCATTGTTATAGGAAATGGAAACTCCATGTGTGTGTTATTGCCCTTGAAGTCTTTCCAGTGGGATAAGATGTGGAGGTGGAAGACAATGATATTGATGACCCTGAGCCTGTGTAGGCCTAGGCTAATGTGTGTGTTTGTGTCTTGGTTTTTAACAGAAATGTTTAAAAGTGAAAAAAAGAATTTAGGCTGGGTATGGTGGTTCACGCCTGCAATTCCAGCACTGTGGGAGGCTGAGATGGGTGGGTTGCTTGAGCCCAGGAGTTGGAGACCAACCCGGGCAACATGGCAAAACCCTATCTCCACCAAGAAAGATACAAAAATTAACTGGGTGTGGTGGTGCATGCCTGTGGTCCCAGCTACTCAGGAGGCTGAAGTAAGAGGACGGCTTGAGCCAGAGAGGTAGAGGTTGCATTGAGCCAAGATCACACCACTGCACTCCAGCCTGGGTGACAGAGTGAGACCCTGTCTCAAAAAAAAAAAAGAAAAATAATTTTAAATTTCAAAAATAGAAAAAATTTATATAATAAGAATATAAAGAAAGAATATCTTGTCCAGCTGTGCAACATGTTTCTGTTTTAAGCTAGATGTTATTACGAGAGTCAAAGAGTTTAAAATTTTTAAAGTTCACAAAGTAAAAAGAGTTACAGTAAGCTAAGGTTAATTTATTATTAAAGAAAGAAAATTAATGTTAGAAATTAATGCACCCTAAGTGTCCAGTGTTTATAAAGTCAATAGTAGTGTATAGTAATGCCCTAGGCCTTCAGATTCACTCACCACTCACTCACTGATTCACCCAGAGCAACTTCCAATCTTGCAAACTCCATTCATGCTAAATGCCCTATGCAGATGTACTATTTTTTATCTTTTATACCATATTTTTACTGTATTCTTCCAAAGTGCTGGGATTACAGGTATGAGCCACCATGCCCAGCCAGAAAAAGCAATGTGGATATTGTTTATAGTTACATCAGGAAATGCAACTTTAAATCACTTTATCACTTTTCTGTGTTTAGATACACAAATGCTTACCATTATATTACAATTTCCTACAGTATTCAGTACAGTAACAGTACAGGTTTGTAGCCTAGCAGCAATAAGCCCTACCAGATAGCCTAGGTACGTAGTGGGCTATACCATCTAGGTTTGTGGAACTACACTCTATAATGTTCACACAATGACGAAATAGCCTAAAGACATGATTCTGAGAACGTATACCTATCATTAAGTGATGCGTGACTATATACATACATATACATATATACATATATTTTTGTAATATACTCTATATTTTATTTCAAAGGCAGTTGTGAAAACTCATCAGCCTTGATTGCAAATCAAATTATTTTTGTCCAGCATGAAAATTAACATGCTCTTATTCTACAAATAGAAAAATACACCAGATTTTTAAAGTTACAACATATATTTAGCAGCAGTATTTATCTTATTGCTTATATTTTATGTTATATACAGTAAAATACTAGGTATCTTATATTTTTATTAGTATAATAAAGGACACCTCCTTATCTTTAATTAATCACACAAATAAGATAATGCAGTTGGCGGAACATGATTCAAATATGAAAAAATATCCTTTCACATAATTAACATTGCTAGATGGATTTTTCTTTAGATATTAATAGATATGACATTTATATGAATTGCATATTCTAGAGGGTAATTAAACTGACACATGTTCAAATCAACTTTAGGACAAAACTGATTAAAAGTGTTGACTTCCAACCAAAATGACTGATTGGCTTTTAATGCACTGAATGCACTGTAGTGTTCAGAAGGCGATTTATACAGGAGAAGGAAGGTATGTTAGTTTCCCGTTGCTTTTGTGACATATCAACACAAACGTAGTGGCTTGAGACAACACAAAATTATTATTGTACATTTTTGAAGTTCAGAAATCTTAAATTCAGTCTTACAGGGCCACAATCAAAGATAGCATTTCTTCCAGAAGCTCTAAGGGAGAATCTATGTGTGGTAGGTAGAATAATGACCCTCCAAAGATGTCCACGTTTGGACAGCCCCAAATCTGTGACTATATTAACTTACATAGTAAAGGTGGTTTTGCAGATGTCATTAAGTTAATGATCCCGAGATGGAGAAATTAACCTGGATGATCCAGTGGGCCCAATGGAGTTGCAAAGATCCTTATAAAAGGAGAGCAGGAGGGTCAGAGTCGGAGAATTTGATGTGAAGATGGAAGTAGAAGTTGGAGTGACACTTTGAAGATGGAAGAAGAGCCATGTAGAGGAATGAAGGTAGTATCTAGAACCTGGAAAAGGTAAGAAAAAAATTATCCCCTAGAGCCACCAGAAGGAACATGCAAAAAGCAAGGAAGCACTTTCTCCTCTAAAGCCTCCAGAAGAAATGCAGCTCTGCTAGCACCTTGAGTTTAGCCCTGTAAAAGCCATTTCAGCTTCTGACCTCGAGAACTGTAAGGCAATAAACTTGGGTTGCATTTAGCTACTAAATGTGTGGTTATATCTTATGCCAGCCATAGAAAAATAGTATACTGTTTCTTGCTTTTTATCCTTCCATTATCAAGCCCACCCAATGTAACTTCCCCATCTCAACACTCTTAATTTAATCACATCTGCAAAGTCCCTTTTTCCATGTAAGATAACATTCATGGGCTCCATGGATTATGATATGAACATTAGGGGATGGAAGAAGGTAAGGAGGTATTCTGTCAACCACAGAAATTGATGCATCTTTTTAAATCAGAAATGTATCAGAATTATTAAAAAAATCAGTTCTAAGACTTCCTTTTTATTGCGGGAATACATACACTCAATTACTTCTACAGACTAATAAAACTTAAAAACATGAACTTGGCTATGGTGGTTTAACAAGAATACACAATAGAAAAGTAGATATGACTTCCAAAACAGATTTAACTTCCAAACCAGTAGGAGAAAAACAATGGAGCAAAGAATATCAGATTTAGCCAACAAGAAACAGGGAGGAAAAAATAATATGATAGCTTCTGGTATGTAAATCAAACTCATAAAAATCAAAAGAGAATTAGAGGACTCCAGTTTCATAGTAGCATATGTTAACCTAAATTTGTCTGAAACTGATAACTCACACTATAAAGATTACAGAATACACACACACGACATGATTTAAATTACTTAACACTATTAATATTAAAGATGATGGTGAAATAGCATCTCAATGAAAAACACTAAAATAAATGTTTGATAAAAAATGCTAGACTTCCCATTTTTAAAACATTGTATTTCTGCTGACTTCTTAGTCACCGCTAAAATAATGATAAATACAATTTTTAAATATAAATTTTTTAATATAAAAATCTAGAACAATGAAAATAGGAGTGAGGCCATCCTAAGATGAGTGATTTCAATAAATTTTGATGAATTTCACAGTGCTGTAAGGACCTCACCCAATTGCCTCAATCTGAGACAATTTGGGAACCATCTTAGCTCTACAGATACCTGCAGGAGTGGGCTGAGGCCTTTGGTTTGATTACCTGACAGTACAAACTCTCCCTTTGCCCAATTTGGCTTCCCTCACATCCAGGGGTATTAATCCAGAGACCTCATTCCAATAAGCTTCCTCTATTAAAAATCTCTCTCTGAGTCCAGTTCCCAGAAAACCTGAGTTGAAACAGGCAATATGAATCTAAAGCTTATACCATGCTATACTGATTCTCCATGTGCTGTATTTATAAATGTTTATACTGCTGCTAATGCACTGTCTATATACAAGTATTGTTTTAAGAGCTTTTCATAAGTTAACTCATTTAATACTAGAAATAAGCCTATAGGAGGTACTGTTATTATGCACATTTTACAAATATACCAATTCATACAGGACATAGATAGAGATAGAGATTATTTAAAATAATACTCAGAATGATTAAAAAGTAACACATACTCTGAAATATTTTGACATACTTTTCTCGAAAAATATCAAGATATTTTACCCTGTGGAGAATACTTTTTTTTTCACTTTATTACTTAATTATTTTTTAACTTTTTTTTTGAATTTCAATAGGTGTTTGTGGAACAGGTGGTGTTTGGTCACATGAATAAGTACTTTAGTAGTGATTTCTGAGATTTTGGCGCACCCATAACCAGAGCAGTGTACACTGTACCCAATGTGTAGTATTTTATCCCTCACCCACCTCCCATCCTTTACCCCAAGTCCTTTAAGTCCATTGTATCTTTTGTTTGTTTGTTTGTTTGTTTGTTTGTTTGTTTAGACAGAGTCTCACTCTGTTGCCCAGGCTGGAGTGCAGTGGCATGATCTCGGGTCCCTGCAACCTCTGCCTCTTGGGTTCAAGTGATTCTCCTGCCTCAGCCCCCCAAGTAGCTGGAATTACAGGAGCCTGCCAGCACGCCCTAATTTTTTTTTTTTTGTATTTTTAGTAAAGATGGGGTTTCACTATGTTGCCCAGGCTGGTCTCAAACTCCTGACCTCATGATCCACCCACCTTGGCCTCCCAAAATGCTAGGATTACAGGAGACAGCCACCACGCCCGGCCCATATGCCTTTGCCTCCTCATAGCTTAGCTCTGACTTATGAGTAACAACATCCAATGTTTGGTTTTCCATTCCTGAGTTACTTCACATGGAATAATGGTTTCCAATTCCATCCAGGTTGCTGTGAATGCCATTATTTTGTTCCTTTTTATGTCTAAGTAGTATTCCATGGTATATATATGCCACATTTTCTTTATCCACTCGTTGATTGATAGGCATTTGGGCTGGTTCCATATTTTTGCAATTGTGAATTGTGTTGCTATAAATAAGGGTGTGCAAGTATCTTTTTTGTATGACTTCTTTTCCTCTGGGTAGATACCCAGTAGTGGGATTGCTGGATCAAATGGTAGACATACTTTAATTCTTTAAGGAATCCCCACACTGTTTTCCACAGTGGTTGTACTAGTTTAGATTCCCACCAATGGTGTAAAAGCATTCCCTTTTCACCACATCTACACCAACATTTTTTTTTCATTTTTGATTATGGCCATTCTTGCAGGAGTAAGGTGGTATCACATTGTGGTGTTGATTTGCATTTCCCTGATAATTAGTGATGTTGAGCATTTTTTCATATGTTTGTTGGCCGTTTGTATATCTTCTTTTGAGAATTGTCTATTCTAGCCCACTTTTTGATGGAATTGTTTGTTTTTTCTTGCTGATTTGTTTGAGTTCCTTGTAGATTCTGGATATTAATTCTTTATTGGATGTATAGATTGCGAAGATTTTTTCCCACTCTGTAGGTTGTCTGTTTACTCTACTGATTATTTCTTTTGCTGTGCAGAAGCTTTTTAGTGTAATTAAGTCCTATCTATTTATCTTTGGTTTTGTTGTGTCTGCTTTTGGGTTCTTGGTAATGAAGTCATCTTTGTCTAAGCCAGTGTCTAGGAGGGTTTTTCCAGTGTTGTCTTCCAGAATTGTTATGGTTTCAGGTCTTAGATTTGGTCTATCTTGAGTTGATTTTTATATAAGGTGAGAGATGAGGATCAAGTTTCATTCTCCTACATGTGGCTTCCCAATTATCCCAGCACCCTTTGTTGAATAGGGTGTCCTTTCCTCATTTTATGTTTTTGTTTGCCTTATTGAAGATCAGTTGGCTGTAACTATTTAGCTTTATTTCTGGGTTCTCTATGCTGTTTCATTGGTCTATGCCTATTTCTATACCAGTACTATGTTGTTTTGGTTACTATGGGCTTATAGAATAGTTTGAAGTCAGGTGATGTAATGCCTCCAGATTCGTTCCTTTTGCTTAGACTTGCTTTGGCTATGTGGACTATTTGTTTTGGTTCCATATGAATTTTAGGATTGTTTTTTCTAATTCTGTGAAGACTGATGGTGGTATTTTGATAGGAATTGCACTGAATTTGCAGATTGCTTTTGGCAGTATGGGCATTTTCACAATATTGATTCTACCCATCCATGAGCATGGGATGTGTTTCCATTTGTTTGGGTCACCTATAATTTCTTTCAGTAGTGTTTTGTAGTTTTCCTTACAGAGGTCATTCACCTCCTTGGTTCAGTATATTACTAAGTATTTTATTTATTTGCAGCATTGTAAAAGGGGTTGAGTTCTTGATTTGATTCTCAGCTTGGTCACTGGTGGTGTATAGCAGGGCTACTAATTTGTGTACATTTTTGTACATTGTGCTAGAATTGTATCCTGAAACTTTGCCGAATTCACTTACCAGTTCTAGGAGCTTTTTGGATGAGTCTTTAGGATTTTCTAGGTATATTATCATGTCATCAGTAAACAGTGACAGTTTGACTTCCTCTTTACTGATCTGGATGCCCTTTATTTCTTTCTCTTGTCCAATTGCTCTGGTTAGGACTTCCAATACCATGCTGAATAGAAGTGGTGAGAGTGGGCACCCTTGTCTTCATTCCATTTCTCAGGGGGAATGCTTTCAACTTTTTCCCATTCAATATAATGTTGGCTATGGGTTAGTCACAAATGCCTTTTATTATCTTAAGGTATGTCCCTTCTATACCGATTTTGCTGAGGGTTTTAATCATAAAGGGATGCTAGATTTTGTCAAGTAATTTTTCTGTATATATTGAGAAAATCATGTGATTTTTGTTTTTAATTCTGTTTATGTGGTTTATAATATTTTTTAACTTGCAGATGTTAAACAGTCCCTGCATTCCTGGTATGAAACCCACTTGATCATAGTGGATTATCTTTTTGATATGCTGCTGGATTCAGTTAGCCAGTATTTTTTGAGGATTTTTGCATCTATGTTCATCAGGGATATTGGTCTGTAGTTTTCTTTTTTTGTTTTATCCTTTCCTGGTTTTGGTATTACGGTGATACTGGCTTCATAGAATGATTTGGGGAGGATTCTCACTTTCTTTATCTTTTGGGAGACTGTCAATAAGATTAGTAACAATTGAGAAGACTTTTTTTCAACATCCATTAATATTTATCAAAGATTTGTTGAGTTTTTTTGAAACTTAGTATATAATAAATATTTAAAATAAATAATGTAATAGCAATATCCTCTGCTACAATGCAAAGTGCTAGAATTTAATAAAGGATAAACACATAAAATGAAACTAATTGAAAATTCCAAAAATAGAAATCAAAAAGCAATACACCATCCTAAGTAATTATTTATATAAAGAGAATATCAAACTATCAGTTACAAACTAATTAGAAATTAACCCATTATTATATATTGAAATTTATGGAATGTGACTAAAATTATACTAAGAGGAATATTCATAGCATTGCATGCTTTATTATTAAAGAGAGAGGAAATAAAAATGAAAGAACTAAAGATTCCACTTGAGAAGATAGAAGATTAACAAACTAAAGGCCAAAGAAAGAATTTTAAAAAGGTAAATATAAAAATTAGTGAAATAGAAGCCATTTTAACATTAGTATTTAAAATTAATTTTAAGGCCTATTTCTAAAATAACCTACAAATTACATAAAATTTCAGCAAGGTTAAAGCCAATGAACAGATCAAACAAAGTAAAATATTAGGAATAAAAATGAAAGATGATGTACACATTATAAATAAATAGCATATAAGTCAATGAAGATAAATTTGAAAATGCCTAAACAATATATTATTTTATCTGAAAAAAAGGATAATCAAAATAGACTCAGAATGATGTAAAATACTTAACTGGATCACTAAAGATGAGAGAAGTATAATTTTATCAAAGAACTATTAAGCATCAACACTTACTAGTTGCATGATCTTGGGCAAGTTACTTTTTTTCTCTCAATGGCACAGTTTTATCACAGATAAAATGGACATAATACACACCTTGCAAGTATATTGTAAGGACTGAGGTTTAATATGTCTAATGCACTCAGTATAAGAGTGATTTACAAGTGGCAGTCAGTTCTCAATGCATGTTGATCATTATATGAAAGACAATCACTCAAAGAATGAGCAGAGGAAAAAGAGAAGTGAAGAGGCTAATAGTAAATAGCTAGAGAGCAGGAAGAATACATTATTACGGGAACCAAGAGAGGATAGTTTTTGTTTTTTTTAAGATAGCTAACTGTGGAATATATTATGATATAAGGTAATAACATGAGAATTCAGAGAGGTGATTACACTTTGCCATTGCACAGTCATTTTAGAAGGCTGATTTTGTACTACAATTTAGACAGCAGTCAGATTCCAGGACTTGTTGGTTTGGTGAAAAATGGAAGGTGTGAATTGTAGGCTGCTTTGTCAAGGCTGCCTGTAAAGAAAAAGAATATGTGGTCTAAGAATATCAGGAATGCTTCTACTTATTGTTTTAGAGAGAAGACCCATTAGAATAATGATAGATATTGTGCTCCTATAGTCAACCTTTAATCCTCTAACTATAAAAACAGTTAATTTATGACTGTATGACTTTATCCATAGGTGGCTTTTGAGTGAGGCCAAGGAAGCTAAATGCCTAGGAGTCTCTAGTGCATGAGCCTCTACAACTTGCTCTGGGGAGTGGGTGGAGGGTACCCTAGTAATCTGTTCACATATGATTTGGTAAAATTGGCAAAGGTAAGTGATCTAAACCACAATCAGTTAAATCTAATGTCTATTTGTAATATACTTTCATCATATTATCTACTTTTCAATAGCTATAAGCATTTCTGAGAATTGAGTTAAGTTGGCAATGTATTTCATTTTTATTAGTAGACCATGTTCATGTGGGCTGCAGTCATTTCCATGACTGTTAGTTACTGCTAGTTAGTTGCTACTATCCATCCCACATAGGAACAACTTCTAGGAATACTCCTATGCCCTACTGTGTGGACTCACCCAGAAATATTACATGAAGGTGCAGGACTAGAGATTATATTGTGGTATAAACATGCCCTATGACATCTAGAAATGCACATGTGGTAGAAGAGAAGCAATGTTTGAAATACATGGAGCCAGAAGCCAGTTTGTATAAAAGTTAAGGTGAAGATTTGGTGTTCAGCAACACCTGGTTAAAACAGAAGTTCTTTCTTTTTCAGGAATATGCTCAATAACATAGCATGTATTATTTTAAACCCACTGTATAGTTATTATTTTATTATAAAAACCACATCAAATATAAGTTATCAGAATTTGTATGTTTATAGGACACAAGCTTGCAGGATTTCTCCAAATGACAAATACAGTTGGCTTCCCATATTTGTGAATTCTGCATCCATGGATTCAACCAACTATGGATCATAAATATTCAAAAAATTGCATTTGTACAGAACATGTACAGTTGTTTATTGTCATTATTCCCTAAACAATCTAGTATAACAGCTATTTTACATAGGGTTTACGTTGCATTAGGTATTATAAGTAATCTAGAGCTGACTTACAGTACATGGGAGGATATGCATGGCTTATAAGCAAATATACATCATTTTATATGAAGGACTTGAGCATCTTCAGATTTTGGTATCTGTGGGACGTCCTGGAACCAATCCCTCACAGATACTGAGAGACTATATTACCGTTTGTATGCAGCCACCTGTTTTACTTAACCAAACTATCAATTTTGCAAACAAATAGACATCAACCACAATGGAGGAACGACAAAATTATTTTTCTAGTCTCACTAAAGAAAGTTATATTACAAAATCACTGTCCTAAGAAGAGGTGATCAAAGAGTATGGAGTCAAAAATACAGAGAAGATAAAAGGCATTATAGTTCTGGTGTAACCTGTTAATTATAGAAGTATTTAATTTTGAGGTATCGTGATGTTGAGGAATTTGTCAACTTTTAAAAACTGGAAATTTATTGTGATTTTTTTATTTTAAGTAAATATGCTCATATCTAATTTTTATTACATTTTAATCCACCCATATCTACCACCAGATTGCAAACAAATTGACAAACTGGACAAACTTTTGTCCAATCATTAGCTGACCAATAAAAACTGAGTAGGAAATTCAGAGGTCACTTATTACGAAGTATACAGACTTGATAGAATTAGTCCAGGAAAGTCAGTTGGAAAAAAAAAAAAAAAAAACCAACAACAACAACCATGCCTGATGAGGACACTTGTGTTACTTCAATGTTGATACATTCCAAAAAAAACAGTTATTGAGTCAAAACTGATTCACATTTATAATTTTGTTTGTGAATGCCCAATTTTTCTCCCTAGCAGTTAACCAATCTACATGCTAATAAAAATGAAAATTTCTGAAATGAATAAATATTATTCAACCACGGAGCCACATGGTTTTTAGAGAAAATCTTGTTATTGCCTAATAAAGGCTGAATGAATAATGGACAGTAAAAATAATAGGTATTCACTACTGAGAAGAAAAATATTGTAAGAAATACTATATACCCACAACCATTCATTTCTTCACCTGCTGTGTTTCATACTTAACTTTTCATTGCCTTTCCTATCCTTTCTGTCTTTTTATCCTCATTTCTTTTATTCGTCTGTTGCATTTTCTTTGCACCCATGCCCTTCCCTCTTTATGCTTTGATAATAAGGGAAATGTCAGCTAGATCAGTATTCCACTGCATGTGGCATATAAGATTATTTTGTAGGATACTCGTGTGAACAATATTTCATTTTAATTGCAATGGATTTACTTTAACATATTTTTAAATAATGAACCTGTCATTACAATCCCACAATTTCATAGATATTATTGCTTAAGGCAATGCTATAAACTAAATATTTGTATTTAAAAAATAAGTTGATTTAACAAAAATGTTAAGTAAATGACAGTCTAAGTACTAGTGTGCAGTTGTAGGAAAATCATGAATTTAGTGAGTGAATGATTGAAATTAGAAGTACATTCTGTGTGCTGTTACCAGAGATAGCAGATCAATTTTTACTGTCAAAATACCACTATTATACCAAACCCATTTTCCTCAGTTTCCAAATTTCACATGCCCTGAAATTCAATCTGACAACTAATGGTTGTTATGCCTATGCTTCTTACAAAAGTAATATTTTGAAAAACATAAAAGTAACCACTAGTAGATTTGAACACAAATATGTATCCTCAAAACTGGAAACATTCTAGAGACAAAGAAATCATAATTTTATAAAAAGAGACCAATCAAAGGAAACAACAATTTAGTGTATTTTTTAAAGCCACATAAAATTAGCTAACCAAAGGAAAATATTTTCAGATGTTTTTTAATTACAACCTTTTCCCCTTTTTATAGTATACACATAAAACAAAGTAACAAGGAAAAATTAGTAAGCAAAAACCCAGCAGGCAAAAAAAGAAACATGGAAAAGGGGGACTGTATTACTCAGGGTTCTCTAGAGGGACAGAACTAATGAAACAGACATATATATATATAAAGGGGAGTTTATTAAGTTTTAACTCACATGATCACACAGTCCCACAATAGCCTGTCTGCAGGCTGAGGAGCAAGGAGAGCCAGTCTGAGTTCCGAAACTGAAGAACCTGGAGTCCAATGTTAGAGGGCAAGAAGCATCCAACATGGGAGAAAGATGTAGGCTGAGAAGCTAGGCCTGTCTCTCTTTTCACATTTTTTTGCCTGCTTATATTCTAGCTGTGCTGGCAGCTGATTAGATTGTGCCCACCCAGATTAAGGGTGGGTCTGCATTTCCCAACCCCCTGACTCAAATGTTAATCTCCTTTGGCAATGCCCTCACAGACACACCCAGGATCAGTACTTTGTATCCTTCAATCCAGTCAAGTTGATACTCAGCATTAACCATCACACTGACAAAATTAATTGCAAGTGAGGATCCATAGAAGAATGTATCCATGGAATCAAAGTGCATTTTATTAATTATGGTTAAATATTTTAATGATGATATACCCCTCTTGCAACTCTAGATGTTGAATTCATCTATGTGTGGGGGAGGGAGTGTGTACAGAATGCATTCGAATATGAAAAGCGAAACTAAAAGAAACAAGGAGAAATTGTTGGAGACAATACTTTTTGAACTCCTAAACATCTCAGTCTCTCAGACCAAACAAGACAAAAATAAGTACTTTAAAAGATTGTCCAATATCTATGTTTGTGCTCTGTAAAATGAGGAATTGGTATGAAATAATTTCAAGTATCCCCATAAGTTCTAAAATTCTAATTTATTAAAGGTATTTGGAAGTTTTTGAGTAACCTAAAATAAAGTTTCTCCCAAAAGAGTCAACATTATTGCATATGTGTTGCTGTTTCTTATCTTTACAAATGTATTTATAACACTCACCTTTTGTCATTTATTACCAGGCCTACACAGCCATCAGTGGTAGCCCTTGATACTCAGGTACACAGAATATATGAACAGTCCCCTGTGCTCCCAGGAATTATCACTACCAACCAGTAGCTGAGGTTATTATTCAAATTGTGCTATATGCTGTGACATGTTTTCCTTCCTGAAATGGAATGAAGTTTGAAGCAAAATATTAACAGCAAGCTAAAATATGAAAACTTGCTGCTGTTTGGAATTTACTTAAATGGGTCCAACATTTACGTCTACTTTTGTAAAAATTAAAGTAGACTGTAATCCATTAAGACATATCTATTATATTGTTTTATACAACCTAGCTATTACTATGCTTGAAATTTAGTTCAAATGTCTTTTGTGATAAAATAATAAGCAAGCATGTATTGACAAAATATTAAAACACAGGAAAAGTTGATTTTGTTTACTTCGAATGATTAAACAACATACGATAAAACTGTCAAGAGAATTCCTATTTGTACACAAGGGCAATCAAAAGAAGATTATCCATAATCTTTTTTCCAAGACATCAAGAAAGATTTTTCTAATGCAAAAGAAGATATTCTGATGTGTCAAGCAAAATTTAAAGCATTATGTTTAACTTACTCTTTTGCCAAATCAGATTTGATTTGTTTATTGATTCATATCACTTTGGTCCTATTATTTACTGACTCTCTGATACTTCTTTTATATCTGACACAATCAAATTTTATCCTAGAAATGGGCAAGAGATGTGGAGGACTTTTTTCTAAGTACTGGTCATGTATTTGGGGTCATGAAGAGCAGTAGGAGAGAAAAGGGGTCATTTCTCCTTTGATTTCACCAAATCACTTTCTGTCATATTTTCATAGTCATTGTAAGGAGTTAAAAATGGTATAAATGTTATTGTGAGTCAGAAGTAAGCAGAATGAACAGGGATTCTACATGAATTTCTTATTACAATTTTTTTTTTTTTTTTTTAAGATGGGATTTCACTCTGTTGCACAGGCTGGAGTGCAGTGACATGATCACAGCTCACTGCAGCCTCAACCTCCTGGGCTCAAGCAGTCTTCCCACTTTAATCTCCCAAGTACCTGAGACTACAGGCACATGCCGCCATGTCTAGCTAATTTCTGTTTTTGTTTTTGTTTTCTAGTGATA
The DNA here is from genome assembly GCF_000001405.40 of Homo sapiens. NCBI lineage: Eukaryota > Metazoa > Chordata > Mammalia > Primates > Hominidae > Homo > Homo sapiens. The sequence continues at coordinate 32,032,117 of NC_000009.12, forward strand.
GGGTTTCGCTGTGTTTCCCAAGCTGGCCTTGAACTCCTGAGCTCAAACAATCCACCCATCTCGGCTTCCCAAAGTGTTAGCACTACAGATGTGAGCTACCACATCTGGCCTCGTATTACAATTTAGAGAAATTAAAGCCTGGATTTCAATGGAGGTGACTACAAGACAAATCTATTGCAAGATAAGATTAAATATAGGATAAAAATTAGGAAGTTAAATATGTGTAGTTTATGATATTTGTAAATCTGTATTGACTCGCTTGTTCCCTAAATGTAGATAGAATACCAGATTTAACAAGAAAGAAAATTGCAAACAACTAACATTTATTGATCTCCAAATCTGAGCACTTCCACAAATATTATCTAACAATCTCCCTCATTACCTTTATGAGGCAGACAATTGTCCATGTCAGAGACGTTAAAACTGAGGTTCAAAAAGGTAATTTAGTTGGCCAGTATCATGTATTATGGTCTTACTTAGGATGGAGGCATTCATCTAAAAATTAGGAAGAGATAGGAGATGAACATTTTTACTTCACTTTTAAATATCTGCTGTCCAAATTTGTTTTTGGTTTTGTTTTTGAGGACTTATTTCTACCAGGCACAATACATACTGTGGTCCTGCAAGAACTAACAGTGAGTGTATTAGTCCATTCGCAAATTGCTATAAAGAAATACCTAAGACTGGGTATAAACAAAAGAGGTTTAATTGGCTCACGATTTCACAGGCTGTACAGGACACATGATGCTGGCATCTGCTCGGCTTCTGGGGAAGCCTCAGGAAACTTAAAATCATGATGGAAGATGAAGGGGGAGCACACACATGACATGGCCAGAGTAGGAGCAAGCGAGAGAGAGGGGGAAGGTGCCACACACTTTTAAAGGAGCAGATCTCAAGAGAACTCACTCACTATTGTGAGGACAGTACTAAGGGGATGGTGATAAACCATTCCAGAGAAACTGCCTCCATGATCCAGTCACCTTCCACCAGGTCCCTCCTCCAGCACTGGGGATTACAATTCGATATGATATTTGGTGGGGACACAGATCCTAACGAACTATTGCTGTGTATGTTATAGTTTTACCTACCTCTGACCAGACCAGTGACACCACTGATCTTTTCAGATCATAAAACCTTGGCTCCCATAATCTCCTATGTGTAAATTACAAATTCTTTTTTCATTTAATATGTTAGGAATATCTTTGTTTTCCAAATTTTTTTTCATTAACTTATGAGACTTTTTCTCATCTAATTTTTAATCAGTTTGTTTTTAAGAACTGTATTTCAAATTCTGTCATGAATATGGATTTTTTCTTTTGAAAAGTCTTTCCTTATTAAATCATTCTTACATTTTATTTCAGTTTAGCACCATGTCTAATGAGCAGCTTTTACTTTTTGTAATTATTACAGAGTTGCTTATTGTTACTTATAGTCTATTCATGTAATAAGTCCTTTCCTTGCTTTGTTTGGAAATGATATAAAATTCATACTGGGTTCATTATTCCTGAAATTTAATAGGAAAATAAAATAAAGAATAGTTGCTTAAAATCAGATTTACCCTCTGACAGATAAATGCTTTGTGGCAAATCTCCTTTTAACAGTAAAGTGTGATAATATTAATTTTGCTTAAAAGATTGGAAACACTTAATGAAACTCATTGAAATAAAGCACTCTGGGGAACCACAAAAGCACTGCTCTAAGCACTATTTAATTGAGTAGAAATTTGGAAAATTAAAAGAGGCTAATAGAAAAAATAGCTTTTCAGTCATATGGGTAAATATAAAATTATAGAAGTGTGCTGTGTATAGAGAAACATCATTAATAATGGAAAACGATGTTCCCCCCTGCCTTTTTTTTTTTTTTTACAAGAAAAGCACCATTTAATCATGTCCTCCACATAGAAGCACAGACAATGCTAAAACTTCATCAAATTGTGTAAAGTCATTGCAGGCATTCAGATGATGCTTTGTAGGACAAGAAGAGAATACAGGTGAAGAAAGAAACATTCCAATTCTCCAAATTCTGTCTTTGGAGTCCCTCCATAATGTCAGTGGCTGTAGTACTTGATAAAGGGTTTTAGCCAATACAAGGACCAAATTCCAGCAATACCTTGGAGGACACAACAAAAATGTGGACTAATTGCGTGGGAAAAAAATCAGGAGACTACTGAAAATAAGATTGAAAGGAGAGATTTGGTGAAACATTATCCCAGTTTCCAGCTCCCTCTCCTCTTTATTCTCTAGGTTCCTTTCATTCCCACAGAGTGCCAAACCAGGAGCAAAAATACTCACTTCATGATTTCTATCCCTCAGGCAAATTGCTGATCACTGTTTGCCTTTCTCCCGCTCCAATCCGAGTCTCCACTTTCTTCCTTATCACAGAAAGCGTAGGTGGCAGGACTGCTTCCCCATCAGTACTTGTCTGTGGTTCCTCTGAGGGCATGGTGCAATGAGTGTGAGCTCCATGAAGGCCAGCAAGAGTGATTGTCTGTTTATGACATTTTGGAACATTTGAAATAGTTCCTTATGTTTATGAACTATGCCTATAAATATCACCACCAAAATAAAGATAGCACCAATCAAAGTTTTAAAAGCACAGGTCAACTCATGATACTTTATCTCACAAAGGAAATTAGAAAGCATAATTTAAATGGTTAAGAGATCAACTTATCACTAATGAGTGTTAGAAACCAATGCACAGAGGCAGACTTCCTTTTTGAAGCAGTTTGCTACATTGCAAAGAGTGTGCCAATAAGTCCAGGTTGATATATATATACCTTTAAAGTAAGCAGGGTCAAATGGGGCATGAATGAAACAGTTCTAATCATTATTACCACCTAAAAAAAAATCACAAACATATTGTTGTATATAATGATAAACTAGTATTTTAGAAACTCTTATTCAAATTAAATTACATCAAGTTGCAATTAAGTAGCTCATATTTTCTTGAAATTGGGTGGATTTCATTTCAAAAAGTGTGTTTACACTTTTTACATCATTATGTTTTATTCTAAACTAGGTGAAAATATTAATTCTGTTTTTGTGGCGTGCTGGGGGTTGGGAGATGGTGTTTGAAGCAGTCTAGCATGCATGCAAACAATGCGGAGTTTTCCTGCAGAGAATTTTAAAACACCAATAAAACCAACTAAAAGTTTATCTGCTCTTTGCTAACACCATGTGAGTTTTTGAGTTTCTGCTTCTTAGTATAACAGACTAACATTCCACCAAATGACCTCCCTCCCTATTAAAAACAACAACAACTATGAAACCTGAACATAATACAAAAGCAAATACCTTAAAGTACTGGGGAGGAAACAGCAGATTCCAGTTAGAGCTCATGCTCACTTGGAGGAAAGGAAACTGAAAGCTGTAGAAGGAAATTCTCATCTCTTTGGCTTTGGGCCTGGGACTAAGGGCAATTCCCCCAAAAAATGTAGTGCAGAGCATACAATCTTTCTGGTGCTGAGAATCAGAAAAGTGAATAGGAAACTATAAAGGGGGAATCCTAGAAGAGATAGAGCCAGACAATTGTTTCCACAAAAGCCCTCTATCCACATTGCTGGTTGATCTCCACCCATGCATGGGACCAACTCAAGGCAGCTCAGCCAAAGACAAAAACTGAAATGAGATGAGAGCTGCTACCATGAAGCTGCCAGAGTATGAATAGAGAAGCAGGCACACTTTGGTAGAGAGAGCATACTTGCCTAAGAAGAAAAGGTAGGCAACTCAACACTTGTGTTCAAAGAGAAAAAGGTTTGCTTCTCTGGTCTGGAGACTTATTATAATAGAGAAGTGAAGAGGGCGCAAATACTGAAGAGAATGAGGGAATCCCAGGAGGGAAAGAACCAGAGAAGGGCTCCGTTAACTTTCTCTACCCATATCAATGAGAGAACCCTAAAACATGCATGCATAGAATAGACTAAAAGCAAAGAGACTACAGCTGTCACACAAGAAAAAGAGTTTGCAGTTCAAGCCCAGCCAAGAAAAATACCTGTTATGAAAATGCTCATTGGATAAAAATTTAAAAACCAAAATATTTTCAACTTAGCAGCCTTAATATCCAACATAAAATACAAATTTACCTGATACACAAAAAAATCAAGAAAATTGAATACATCCTAGAGAAAAGGAAATCAAATCTAAGGTTGAACCAGGTTTTGGAACTAACTAATAAAGATTTTAAAGTGTCTTTTGTTGCTAATCCCAGTGTAGCAAAACAAAACATGTTTGAATGCATTAAAAAGCTCAACAGAGAAATGGGAAGTCTCAGTAGAAAAAGTGACACAGAGAAAAAAAAGAACTAAATGGAAAATCAAGAACTGAAATATGTAATTTCTGAAATAAAAATTTACTATAAGACTTAGCCAAATGGACATGTCAGAATTAAGAGCAAATGAACATGAGAATATATCAGTAGAAATTATCTCAGGTGAACAATATAGAACAAAAAGATTGAAAAAAATTAACAGAGCCACCGTGACTCATTAGATAAAACATTAAATTTTAAATGTACAGGTAATTGGCATACTAGAAGGAGAGGAGACACAGAATGAGACAGGAATAGTATTTAAAGAAATAATGGGCTGGGTGCAGTGGCTCACGTTTGTAATCCCAACACTTTGGAGGCTGAGGTGGTTGAATCCCATGACCCCAGGAGTTCAAGACCAGCCTGAGCAACATGGTGAGACCCCCTTTCAACAAAAAATACAAAAATCAGCTGGGCATGGTGGCACATGCCTGTAGTCCCAGCTACTCTAGTGGCTGAGGTGAGAGGATCACTTGTGCCTGGGAAGTCAAGACTGCTGCAGTGAGTTGTGATCATGCCACTGCACTCCAGCCTGAGTGACAGAGCAAGACCCCATCTCTGAAAACAAAAGAAAGGAAAGAAAAGAAACAACGGCTTAAATCTCCAAATTTCATAAAAATCAGAAATGTTTAAATTTGATTTCGTGTTTAAAAATGATTTGGTATTTAAATAAACACTAAATCAACACCAAATAGAACAGTTAAAAAGAGACAGGCCGGGCGCAGTGGCTCACACCTCTAATTCCAGCACTTTGGGAGGCTGAGGCAGGCAGATCACGAGGTAAGGAGATGGAGACCATCCTGGCTAACATGGTGAAACCCCGTCTCTACTAAAAATACAAAACCTTAGCCGGGCGTGGTGGTGGTCACCTGTAGTCCCAGCTACTTGGGAGGCTGAGGCAGGAGAATGGTGTTCACCCAGGAGGCGGAGCTTGCAGTGAGCCGAGATCGTGCACTGCACTACAGCCTGGGCGACAGAGCGAGACTCCATCTCAAAAAAAAAAAAAAAAAAAAAACAGAAGCAGGCTGTAGTTTGTATTTCTGTGTGGTCAGTGGTGATATCCCCTTTATCATTTTATGTTGTCTATTTGATTCTTCTCTCTTTTCTTCATTAGTCTAGCTGGTAGTCTATTTTGTTAATTTTTTCAAAAAGCCAGCTCCTAGATTCATTGATTTTTTGAAGGGTTTTTTTGTGTCTCTATCTCCTTCAGTTCTGCTCTGATCTTAGTTATCTTTTGTCTTCTGCTCGCTTTTGGATTTGTTTGCTCTTGCTTCTCTAGCTCTTTTAATTGTGATGTTAAGGTATCAGTTTGAGATCTTTCTAGCTTTCTGATATGGGCATTTAGTGCTGTAAATTTCCCTCTTAACACTGCTTTAGCTGTGTCCCAGAGATTCTGGTACGCTGTCTCTTTTTTCTCATTTGTTTCAAATAACTTCTTGATTTCTGCTTTAATTTCACTATTTACTCAAGAGTCATTCAGGAGCAGGTTGTTCAGTTTCCATGTAGTCGTGTGGTTTTGAGTGAGTTTCTTAATCCTGAGTTCTAATTTGATTGTACTGTGGTCTGAGAGACTGTTTGTTATGATTTCCCTTCTTTTGCATTTGCTGAGGAGTGTTTTACTTCCAATTATGTGGTTGATTTTTGAATAAGTGCCATGTGGCACTGAGAAGAATGTATATTCTGTTGATTTGGGGTGGAGAGGATGAAGCTGGAAGCCATCATCCTCAGCAAACTAACACAGGAACAGAATACCGAACACTGCATGTTCTCACTCATAAGTAGGAGTTGAACAATGAGAACACATGGACACAGTAAGGGGAACAACACACAACAGGGCCAGTTAGCAGGTAGGGGGCAAGGGGAGGGAGAGCATTAAGACAAATAGCAAATGTATGTGGGGCTTAAAACCTAGATGACGGGTTGACAGGTCCAACAAACCACCATGGCACATATATACCTATGTAACAAACCTACACATTCTGCACTTGTATCTCAGAACCTAAAGTAAAATTTAAAAAAATAATAAATACAGAAGCAGACTAAAGGCCTATCACAGTCAGACTGTTTAAAGCCAATGATGAAGAACAAATCTTGAAAGAAGGTTTTAAAAAACAACGCTTTTTATACAAGGGAGCAGCAATACAATTGATGGCTGATTCTTAACAGAAACTATAAGGAGAGGATAAAAAAAGAGTGAAGTTACATCTTTAAAGTGCCAAAGGAAAAAAATATTGGTCAACTCATATTATATATCCAACAAAAGTATAATTCAAGAATGAAGGCAAAATATACTTTTTCAGACACAAAAAACTAAAAGAATTCATTGCCTGCAAACCTATATTAAAAGAAATAGTAAATGAAATTCTTTAGGAGGAAGAGAAATAATACCAGATGCAAATTTGAATCCTCTGAAAAGAATAAAGACTAATAAGGGCTGGACACATTGGCTCACGCCTGTAATCTCAGCACTTTTGGAGGCCAAGGTGGGAGGATCACGAGGTCAGGAGTTCCAGACCAGCCTGGCCAACATGGTGAAACCCTGTCACTACCAAAAATACAAAAATTTGCTGGCCATGATGGTGCACGCCTGTAATTCCAGCTATATGGGAGGCTGAGGCAGGAGAATCATTTGAACCTGAGAGGCAGAGGTCACAGGGAGCCAAGATCGCACCACTGCACTCATTCCAGCCTGGGCAATAGAGTGAGACTCTGTCTCAAAAAAATAAAAAATAAAGACTAATAAAAATGGTAAATATCAGAATAAATGTGAATGACTAACTTTTGTTTACTTTTGTTTGTCTTAATTTCTTTCTACATTGTTTAAGATTTTAAAATAAAATTATACCTTTTTCAACATTACTGTGAACCTAAAACTGCTCTTAAAAAAAAACATTGCCTTCTGAGATTTATAACATGTGTAGGTGGGAAGAGTACTTGAGGCCAGGAATTCAAATCTAGCCTGGGCAACATAGTGAAACCCTGCCTTAAAAAAAAGATCCTGACTTAATGTTTGGTAATACAGTCCACCAAAATATTAATTACATTATATATTAATGAAGTAAAGACTCTAATTAGAAGACAGAGTTTGTCAAAAACTACTAAGAAAAAAACAAACAAAAACTTCTCAAAAGAAGACATTCGTGTGGCCAAAAAACCTATGAAAAGTCAGCATCACTAATCATTAGAGAAAAGCAAATCAAAACCACAAGGAGATACCATCTCACACCAGTCAGAATGGTAATTATTTTTAAAAAGCCCAGAAACAACAGATGCTGAAGAGGTTGAGGACAAAAAGGAACACTTTTACACTGTTAGTGGGAGTGTAAATTAGTTCAACCATTGTGGAAGACAGTGTGGCAATTCCTCAAAGACCTAGAGACAGAAACACCATTTGACCCAGCAATCCCATTACTAGGTATATACGCAAAGTAATATAAATCATCCTATTATAAAGATACATGCATGTGTATGTTCACTGCAGCACTATTCACAATAGTGAAGACATGGAATCAACCCAAATGCCCATCAATGATAGAATGGATAAAGAAAATTTGGTACATATACACCGTGGAATACTATGCAGCCATAAAAAGGAATGAGATTATGTCCTTTTCAGGGACATGGATGGAGTTGGAAGCCGTTATCCTCAGTCAACTAACACAGGAACAGAAAACCAAATACCACATGTTCTCACTTATAAGTGGGAGCTGAACAATGAGAACACATGGACACATGTTGGGAAAAACAACAATTTCTCATATCTTAGAGGAAGAAGTTGCTTATTTATTTTCACTTTGATTCTCAGCCTTTCTTATTTACACTGCGTGATCCTGATGAGCTCTCATAGTCTCTCAGCCTCTGTTATATTAATATTTAAGACAATCTTTCTCATTAGGCAAATCACAATGTGTCACTACTCTTTTAAAACATTTTGATAGCCTTTTATGGCCTAAAGAAAAGTCTCAAATCCTCATCATGATATGTAGAACTCACCACATAAAAGTTCCACTCGTTTTTGTTTTTTTTTAAGTACAGTATTATTTCAAATCAACGTAATAATGAGTCAAATGATCTCCTGAAACTCTCTCATTACTTCTTTCATGCTTCTTACATTAAAACCCTCCTTCAATTGGTCTGTTTCTCTGTCTATCTAGATCGGGAGGTCTTTAAAAGCAGAGAAATTGTTTTATTAATCTCCACATGCACAGTGCCTGCCCTAGCTCCTAGAACCTAAAAGGAGATCACTAAATGAATGAATAAATGAACTATAAACCTAGAGGATACTATAAATCACTGAAAAGCCAAGAATCACGGTATTCTAATATCATACCCTTTGGCTAAAAAGTATGCTATTTTGGAAGAAGATAGAAAGCAAAGAAAGAATAGTTTGAAATCAGACCTGGAGGCTTGTGCTGAGTGATTTCACACACATGCTCTCTGCAACATTCATGAGTCAGTCATACACAGCCTCATCTACCAGGAGGCTAAAGATCATAAGGTTAATCTTTTTATCACATAATATTTATTTCTCACTACTTGAGATTGATGGGTGTTGCCCTCTATGAATTCAGCTTCTTTGCTTCAGGCACATCTTCATCCTTCCTGGAATATCAATATTGCCAAGGGTACACAGCACCTTCAATGGAGAGTGTATTTTTTTCTTACCTGTTGAAATTCCTAAGCATTTCTCGACAGGTGGTGTTTTCAGCTAGAAAGTCGCACATTTTATTTTGAAGCATATCTTTCTCACCATGAATATATTAAGTACGAGGAAGGCATTTGGAGGGATTACTGGACCAAACCACTGACGGCTAATCAGTTCTTATATACCAATCATATCACAAACCTATATAGAAATGGCACTATGTTACCATGATTAAATTTGAGTATGATTTCTGCCTTGAATGTTTTATTGGGAATTAAGGAGGGTGATTCACTATACCAGAGGCTACAAAGGGAATTTTTATGGAAAATCAAATAGGCAGTATAGCTTGATAGTTTGTCAAGTTTCTTCAAGAGGTTGACAACATTGCCTCTTCAGAGGGAAAAGAAGTCTTTTACCCATGTATTCAGCAGGTTAACAGATTTTGTTAGCACAAGTTTTGAAAATCACTTGATTTGATGTGGTACTGTGCAGCTTATGTGTCAATTTGAGCATCATTTTATTGATTTTTTCCACGGAGAAGACAGGGTTAATAGAATTACAATAGAATTTTAGTGAACTCCCATTCCATAAGATTTGGCAATAATAATAATCATCATTTTTCTATCTTCTTGAAAGTACTTTCAAAGTTTTATAGTAATAGGCCACTAAAAAACAATGACATATACCAGAGCATAGAAATACATTGTTTTACTGACAAATGCTCCAAAGTTTAGGGTTAGTTTGAATGACAGATTTTTAAAAATACATTTGCATTTCACATGGGTATACATATGGTATAATGAAAAGAACATAGTCTTTTGAATCAACTGGACTTTGTTCAAGCTTGAGTATTGCTACTAACCAATTGGATGAGCTCAGGCAAGCATTCTGGCATTTTGAATTTCTATTTTCAGTGTTTGTAACATGGGAATATTTATACCTGCCTTGTGAAGTTGTTCTTAGAATGAAAAGAGATGATAAACACACTGACCAGTCTCAGTAGGTGCATATTACATGTTAGTTCCCTCTCATATGAACAAGGACAAACACATCGTTCTAAGGCAACTTCTCTCTGTTCCATTCTCCCCCATCCTCCAGCTGCTGCTCCTCATCATAAGACCATAATATAGGTCTGAATGTGAGTCTCTTCTATCACTAAGTAGTCACTCATTTTATCTATATCTTGTCTGTCTCTCAATTTAAACATAATTAAAAGATAGAACACTGTGAACTAGGTAGCCCAAGATGACGGGGGAAGACCCAGAAAGGAAAAGCACAGGGAGGAGACACACCAGGCAGAATGAAAGATCAGAGATAACAAGGCCACAGCTGCTCCAAAGCAGATGTCTTCCTGATGTTATTCACCATTGAGTAAGTTTCTGCTGTTATCCCCAGAGACAAACAGAATTTCTTCCTCAAAAAACTAATTCCTGAAATATATGGCTTATGTTTCATGTTTTCTGTGGGGACACTCCCTCTCAATGTCCTGCGTGATTCAGCACCCTAGGGGACCTACAGGGTCCCCTTGACTCTTCCCACCCACCTCCTATTCTGAATTTCAGGAGATCATTTGACTCATTATTACGTGGATTTGAAATAATATTGTATTTAAGCACAGTCTAAACCAAATCATGTTTTGATTCTTTTTTTGTCGTTGCTGTTTTTTTCCCAAACCACTCCTGGAAACCTTCAAACTTAACCAATTTCCTTGCTGGCTACTTCATTAAGAAGTTGGAGGAACCCAAACTGAGTCCTTTATACTACTCCCACCTTTGTCCCTGTCTAGACTGAGCCTCTTCTCAATTTCTCATATCTTAGAGGAAGAAGTTGCTTATTTATTTTCACTTTTATTTTCAGCTTCTCTTATTTACACTACATGATCCTGATGAGCTCTCATAGTCTCTCAACCTCTGTTATATTGATATTTAAGACAATCTTTCTCATTAGACAAATCACAATGTGTACTACTCTCTTCAAACATTTTGATAGCCTTTTATGGCCTAAAGAAAAGTCTCAAATCCTCATCATGGTATGTAGAACTCACCACACTCAAGTTCCATTCGTTTTTTCTTTTTTTTTTTTCCAATTTCAACATCTACTACATATTTGTTCCTTTCTGTGTTATCAGATAACTTACCATACCCTAACCATTCCACGAGCATCCACACCTCCATGCTTGTGCTCATGATTTTTTCCTTCAGCTTTATATCCCTTCACCAATCATTTCTCAAGGCTCAACTCAAAATTACCTTTCAGGTGCTTTCCATGATTTTCCAAGCTGGAATTAATCCTTTTGTCTGCAAATGTTATGCTGCCTCTAGATAAGTTATAAGATTTATTACATTCAGATTTATATTTACCCGACTCTTCTTTAGTAACGATAACTGTAATTCAGTTATCATTACTTAAGTAAAACATTTTTATTTACCCAACTCTCTCTCGCTCCCTCTCTCTTCATGAAACTATAGCTCCTTGATGTTTGAAAGCAAGTGTTAGCAATCAGCTTTCCCAGGGTGCACAGGACAATGGTTTGATTATGTAAGTGCCAATAAGGTCTGGCGAAGGAGTAAACACAAAAGGAGGTGTTATTTATTGATGTATTGATTTATGTATATTCCTTTTGCTATGACTGTTTCCCACAGCAGGGATTAACACAGTAAGATTGCTGAACTGCTACAGGGACATTTTTTGTTTTGTATTTTCACAACCTATGCAAGGAAACTTTAGGGACTTTGAGTGATGGACAACCCCCTATCAGATATCATCAGCCTGAAACATCCTTATCTTGGCATTAAATTAGAAGGAACCCCAGACCCTGCGTACCAGAATTGTTAGAATCACAGTCTCAGTAAAGAACCAACTCCTGATCACTTCTCTAAAGGAAAGTTCTAGAAGTCTGCACACTCTGCAGTCACTTTCAATTCTATCCAAGTGTACACTTAGAACTCTAGAAAACACTACGGACAGTCTTCAGCCAGGTAAAGCCTAAAACCAGCAAAGAACAGGGAGAGTGAGGGATTGTGAGAGAAATTTATATTTGTCTTATTTAACCTTCAAGGGACAGAATTTATTGTATGAAACTCAGGAGCACCTGAAGACATAGTTTACCTAGAAGACTAGTGGGGTATTAAGCATTTTGGAATCTCTATTTTCAGAATACCACCTGGCTAATTAACTCCAACACTACTACCACTTCTTACCCATGAATTTAGGCATTTTCTAGAGCAGAGGCAAGATTTCTGAACATAAGTGTTTTCTCAAGACCTTGCTGTTAATTTTGGAGAGTTATAAATGTGTTTAGGGTCCAGTTAATTTCTGACTTTACCAAAAATTTCTGATAATGAATGATTAAACTATGCTATGTGATTTCAACTTTTTAGGGGAAATGGCTATATAAATGTACTGGAACTTTTAAAATATTTCTGACGGCAAACAATCACTATTTTGGGTTCAAGCAATACTACTATACCATTAATACATTTACTCTACAACCTATAAGTCAAAATAGGTGTGTTAATTGTCCAAGGATTCCACCTAGAGTAGTAGGTGCTGGTAGATGGTTTCGCCCTTTCTATGGTTAAAATTATAGCATTACAGTTATCATTACTAAAGTAAAACATTTTTACTTACCCAGTGTAGAACATATTTCTCATCTCTAATATCTGAATTCATGATTGTCAAAGAAAAGTTACCCATCTAACATTTGACCATGCTGAAATTCCTTGAAACTAAAAATAGGCAGTGCCTTTGGTATAAAATTGATGTATGAGGTTCCCCAAACAAGATGTTTATGCATGGGCCTTTGTAGTTACTGTAATTTCAAATTGTAACCACATTGTTCTGATGATGGCTAATATCTCTCCTCAACTACAATCTGACTTCTCACACAGGAGAATCCTTTCTTATGACTTTCTGCTCATAAAATTTCAAAAACATTTAGTGTACTTATATATGCTTGAAATTTTTCATAAAATACATTTTAAAACATAGACAAAGTTGAGTAAAACATTATTTATAAAGTGGATTCGAGAATATAAAAGTATATTACAGTTTCTGAGAGAAAACACAATGTCTCTATCATAAAATTATATGTATGTAGCCCATAATAATGTTCTTTTTAGCCAAAGTTTTACCAAATAAAGCATATTATTAAACAAAAACTACTTTAGATCTTAGTTCATGATAACAAATTATTTTCATCAAAGATTATGTTTGTTATTACAATATATGATTATGACACATAGTCTCAATATTTTCTTTTTCATAATCTTTAATTACACTGTGTACATAAAACTTGAACCCTTTCTGTTTTTATACTGTGGTTATCTCATTATTATAAATATTCTTAAATGATTTTATGTTTCTATAATAAAATGCAATGCAAATTGTAAAATGCAATATCTAACTTGGTGAGATCAGGGGAAATAGCTAGTAATTTTCTTGGTAAGTGAAGCAGAACATTAAATGACTTATTATCAGATTTTATATTGTATTGAGAATCTGTGCCATAAATCTTACTATATTTGAATTATAATGGTGGACAAATCACTTTCTACGACTTCTGTATCATAGTAAAGGAACCGTGATTATCCTTCATTGATTCAAGAATGATATCTATTTGTCACTTTTGACATGACATAGCTGAGTTATATTAGGATATAATAAGCTCCTTCTAACCATTTTGAATGTCGGCATCAGGGGAATTTAAAAAAAATGAAAAATAAAATTCCAGTCAATAGTAAGGACAGTGATAAGAAGCTTGAAGGACTTTTTAAAAAATATAAAGTAGGGTAATATATTGTGATTCTTTCAGAGTTCACATCAAATGTATTTGTGTGTGTGTATAACAATTTTGTTAAAGCTGCAGGTCTTAAGATGAAAAAAACTAAAGAGTGTACTCTGAAGTATAAATTAGATATACATTCATGGAAAAGATAGACCCTCTTTATGGATGAGAATATTAAATGTTGTAAAGATGGCAATTTACCTAAAAATAATTTAAAAATTTAAAGAATAGTAAATTTTCAAGCAAATATTTTGAGTTAACAATTATTTAGAAATATTTCAGTAAAAATAAACATTTTAGACTAGGTAGAATTTTTTTAAATAAAAGATGTTGACTTTCTCTGTCAGGTAATGAATATACTATAAAACCATAATTATAATAGTTTAGTCCTGGAAATAAGAACAAGGCAACAGATCAACAGAGCAGAATAAAAGAACTCCAATCTGCTATACCAGAATCTATTCATATTTCTATCTTATTTCTCTATAATCAACTACTATTAATCTTATTTAGAATGGAAATGAAAAACCATGCCAAACATTTAGAAAATAGTATTATTCAATAAGTACTAGAACTGTTCAGCTCTATAGAAGAAAAATTCTTACCTCTATAGCAAGAAAAAATCATTTGTTAAATAGTAATTTGTGGAAAAATAAACCACAAAAATTGTTGAAGACTGTATTTAAAGGGGAGTAATTTCTAAATTCAAGCACAGTTGAAGAAATAATATAAAAGAGTTATTCTGAATATTAAAATGTTAAATATAGCAAAAACACCTCAAGAAGACAAAGAAGGTGAGAAAATACTTGTAGGGTTAAAAATTCATTGCCCTAATATAGAAAATGCTTATGCAAATTGATAAAAATACAGCTAAAACTCCAACAGATTAATTGCAAAGTAGCTGAAAAAAAAAAGAACTAAAAGTTAGAAATATTCATGGCTAAGGATATGTTCAACTTGTAATAATGAAAAACTAATTAAAATGACAATGTTAAGCCATACTTTAAGGAAACTAACCTTCTATTTCATCATTGAAAGAAGATTGAAGAAAATCTGTATTTTCAGCAAGGACTCTAGGTGATTCCATGAAGCTGTGTACTTTATTTAGATACTGTTATACTCACAATAACTCCCCACTTATTCTGCATCATTTATTTAGTAAACATCGATGAGGGCTTACTATGTTTCAGGCACTGTTCTACATGTGGGAAAAGCAACAAACAAAATACACAAGGATCCCTTCACAGAAAGATAATGAAGGGGAGTACACTAGGAGAAATGGAGGAGCTTTGAGAGTGTTCAAAAACAAATGACTTTTGGGGAAAGACTAGAAGGAGATGATGGGCCAGTTATCCATGTAATTAACTCGGGGAAGAGCATGACAGATAGAGGGCACAGGAAGTCCCAAAGCCTTGAAGCTGTCACTATTTTTTGTAGTTTCCCAGGTGATTTGAATCTGCAGCCAGGATTAAGAGTCACGAGGGTCATTTTTTCAAGAGACCCTTCTTAATCTCTACCACAAGCTAAAAATACTTGGGAAAGAATGCAAAATAGTAGATGCAAAAAATTTTTCTCTGAATCTTTCCCCAACTCAATAAAATCAGAACTGATTTTATTTTTCAAATAGACAAGCTAAACACCCAGTGTTACAGTCTTCGACATTTTTACCATGTCCTCAGTGAAGACATTTTCAACATGAGGGAAAATTAAATCAGCATTTCTTTACCTTAATGTTTAAAAAACCTTAACTGGTGCATTTACCAAGTGAAAATCACAATAATGTAAATTTGGTTCTAAACAAAAAAGAATTATTTGATAAATATATTTGTATTCTATTATCTAAGGTATTTTTACACTTAGGAAAAATATTTAGTATTGGTATCAATGGATGGCATATCCACTCACATACATGTAAGTAAACAACTAGGTATAGAGGTATAGACAGAAAGAAAAGTAAGTCATTAGCAACAATTACCACCTTTGTTAAAATTTAATGAGCTCTTAATGAACTATCACAGATAAGATGTTGGTGTCAATGCCAAGTAGAATAATAGACATTGGAGACTCTAAAATGTGGGTGGGTTGGAAGAGGGTTGAGGGATAAGAAATTAACTACTGTGTATAATATACACTATTCGGTTGATGGTTACACTAAAAGCCCAGATTTCAACACTAGGCAATATATCCTTGTGACAAAACTGCACTTGTACCCCCTAAATCTATAAAATTTTTTAAATAAAAAAAGATATTGGTGTCAGAAATGTCTTTAAAGACTTATGCTAACAGCAAAATATAGACATTCCCCTTTCTGTGTACACTTTGGATTAAATAACAGGCCAGGAGTAAGCCATGACAGATTTTAATAGAGCCTTTCACTGAAGCCTTTCCTCTAGTTCTAGTCTCTGTCCTAAGCAAAATAATGAAGACAGTGTATGCTTTGTTAATAGCCTATTTCACTTCCTAATTAAGAAGGTCACAAGTAACAATACTCCTTATCTCCACACCCTTTCAACTGCAGGTGTATTACATTAATTCCATTTAATTTGTTTAAATCCATAACATATGTCAAAGATCTTACAGCGTTTTATATCTATCTTGCAGTTCAGCTGTAAAAGGAATTACTGAAAAGTCACCTTGGTGCTAGGTTTCATTAATTTAATTATGAATTGCTTTTCCATTTACCATTGAGTGGCTAAAATAATGCAACATTGGATCATGTTTTATAATAATGGAATACATAATTAAAATCATAATTCAATAAAACATGCTTATTCTACTATTCTCATTAGAGCCAGTTTTATTTCACTTGCAAAGTAATAAAAATAAAAATAATGCCTGGCATTATTTTCATGACACTCCAGATATAAGCAGGTACACTGTATACAACAATGGAGGAAAACATTGTATTACCTAGAAAATCCAGTCAGTTTAGTTTATTTAAATTTCAAGTCAAAAGTTCTACTGTTTTTCTGAATGATCCAACTACAATATCTACCTAACTCAAAGATCCTATCTTATACAAGCTCTCCATTGAAGCTGTTCTCCTTAAATATATGGGTATAAATTAGTGTGAAAATAGTAAAGGTACTAAGAGCATAGCATCATAGCGTCTTTTTTTTTTTTTTTTTTTTTTAAGAGTCTCGCTCTGTTGCCCAGGCTGGAGTGCAGTGGTGCTAACTTGGCTTGCTGCAATCTCCGCCTCCCAGGTTCAAGCGATTCTCCATCCTCAGTAGCTTGGATTACAGTCACCCACCACCATGCCCGGCTTACTTTTGTGTGTGTGTATTTTTAGTAGAGACAGATTTCACCATGTTGACCAGGCTAGCCTCGAACTCCTGACCTAAAGTGAACTGCTTCCTTCAGCCTCCTAAAGTGCTGGGATTACAGGAGTAAGCCACCATGCCTGGCCAAGCATAGCATCTTAATACTTACCTATATTGCTTCTATTTTTTTGTATCTTTCTTATGGTTGTTTCAGCTCTTTGTTATGCAAAATGTAAGACTAAAAAGTGATTTAGGTTTTCTCTCAGCTGTGCTATTTTCCAGTTTAGAATGACATTTTGGGGAACTGTTCTCTGCTTCGGATTATCACAGTTCTCAAAAGAGGAGTATGCATTTGCTTGCTCCAATTCCTCTTCTTCTACACTCTCTTAAGCATTCCTCAACCAGTCTAATATCTCATAGTTCCCCAAAACTGCTCTGTTCAAGACCATTAGTAAGATCTTTGATGTTAATCTGTGGACCGTATCTCTGTCCTTATTTTACTTGAAGCCCAACAGCAAATAAAAAAGTTGTTCTCCTCTCCTCCCTGCTACACTTTCCTTATGTGGCTTGCTGGGCTCCTCAGTCCCCTGTGAAAAACTCTGACATGGAGATACTGCAGACCAGTAGAAGGGCTGGGCAGACACTATACAGAAACAGTATGCCCTACATGCTCCTTGGCTAAATCTCTAGAATTTTTTTCAGAACTCATCCACAAATTGAATGGATTTCCTTGATAATCCCAGTCATCTCCTTCTTAATAACAGAATTTCTTTTTTTATTATTACACTTTAAGTTTTAGGGTACATGTGCACCACGTGAAGGTTTGTTATATACGTATACATGTGCCATGTTGGTGTGCTGCACCCATTAACTCGTCATTTAGCGTTAGGTATATCTCCTAATGCTATCCCTCCCCCCTCCCCCCACCCCGCAACAAGCCCCAGAGTGTGATGTTCCCCTTCCCGTGTCCATGTGTTCTCATGATTCAATTCCCACCTATGAGTGAGAACATGCGGTGTTTGGTTTTTTGTCCTTGTGATAGTTCGCTGAGAATGATGGTTTCCAGCTTCATCCATGTCCCTACAAAGGACATGAACTCATCATTTTTTATGGCTGCATAGTATTCCATGGTGTATATGTGCCACATTTTCTTAATCCAGTCTATCATTGTTGGACATTTGGGTTGGTTCCAAGTCTTTGCTATTGTGAATAATGCTGCAATAAACATACATGTGCATGTGTCTTTATAGCAGCATGATTTATAATCCTTTGGGTATATACCCAGTAATGGGATGGCTGGGTCAAATCGTATTTCTAGTTCTAGATCCCTGAGGAATCGCCACACTGACTTCCACAATGGCTGAGCTAGTATACAGTCCCACAACAGTGTAAAAGTGTTCCTATTTCTCCACATCCTCTCCAGCATATGTTGTTTCCTGACCTTTTCATGATCACCATTCTAACTGGTGTGAGATGGTATCTCATTGTAGTTTTGATTTGCATTTATCTGATGGCCAGTGATGATGAGCATTTTTTCATGTGTCTTTTGGCTGCATAAATATCTTCTTTTGAGAAGTGTCTGTTCATATCCTTCACCCACTTTTTGATGGAGTTGTTCGTTTTTTTCTTGTAAATTTCTTGGAGTTCATTGTAGATTCTGGATATTAGCCCTTTGTCAGATGAGTAGATTACAAAAATTTTCTCCCATTCTGTACCATTCTGTAGGTTGCCTGTTCACTCTGATGGTAGTTTCTTTTGCTGTACAGAAGCTCTTTAGTTTAATTAGATCCCATTTGTCAATTTTGTCTTTTGTTGCCATTGCTTTTGGTGTTTTAGACATGAAGTCCTTGCCCATGCCAATGTCCCGAATAGTATTGCCTAGTTTATCTTCTAGGGTT
Organism: Homo sapiens; assembly: GCF_000001405.40. Lineage (NCBI taxonomy): Eukaryota > Metazoa > Chordata > Mammalia > Primates > Hominidae > Homo > Homo sapiens. Next base: position 32,051,014 of record NC_000009.12, read on the forward strand.
TTTATGGTTTTAGGTCTATCATTTAAGTCTTTAATCCATCTTGAATTCATTTTCATATAAGGTGTAAGGAAGGGATCCAGTTTCAGCCTTCTACATATGGCTAGCCAGTTTTCCCAGCACCATTTATTAAATAGGGAATCCTTTCCCCATTTCTTGTTTTCGTCAGGTTTGTCAAAGATCAGATAGTTGTAGACATGTGGCATCATTTCTGAGGGCTCTGTTCTGTTCCATTGGTCTATATCTCTGTTTTGGTACCAGTACCATGCTGTTTTGGTTACTGTAGCCTTGTAGTATAGTTTGAAGTCAGGTAGTGTGATGCCTCCAGCTTTGTTCTTTTGGCTTAGGACTGACATGGCAATGCAGGCTCTTTTTTGGTTCCATATGAACTTTAAAGTAGTTTTTCCAATTCTGTGAAGAAAGTCATTGGTAGCTTGATGGGGATGGCATTGAATCTATAAATTACCTTGGGCAGTATGGCCATTTTCACAATATTGATTCTTCCTACCCATGAGCATGGAATGTTCTCCCATTTGTTTGTATCCTCTTTTATTTCATTGAGCAGTGGTTTGTAGTACTCCTTGAAGAAGTCCTTCACATCCCTTGTAAGTTGGATTCCTAGGTATTTTATTCTCTTTGAAGCAATTGTGAATGTGAATTCACTCATGATTTGGCTCTCTGTCTGTTATTGGTGTATAAGAATGCTTGTGATTTTTGCACATTGATTTTGTATCCTGAGACTTTGCTGAAGTTGCCTATCAGCTTAAGGAGATTTTGGGCTGAGACAATGGGGTTTTCTATATATACAATCATGTCATATGCAAACAGGGACAATTTGACTTATTATTTTCCTTATTGAATACGCTTTATTTTCTTCTCCTGTCTGATTGCCCTGGCAAAACTTCCAACACTATGTTGAATAGGAGTGGTGAGAGAGGACATCCCTGTCTTGTGCCGGTTTACAAAGGGAATGCTTCCAGTTTTTGCCCATTCAGTATGGTATTGGCTGTGGGCTTGTCATAGATAGCTCTTATTATTTTGAGATATGTCCCATCAATACCTAATTTATTGAGAGTTTTTAGCATGAAGGTTGTTAAATTTTGTCAAAGGCCTTTTCTGCATCTATTGAGATAATCATGTGGTTTTTGCCATTGGTTCTGTTTATATGCTGGATTACGTTTATTGATTTGCGTGTCTTGAACCAGCCTTGCATCCCAGGGATGAAGCCCACTTGATCATGGTGGATAATCTTTTTGATGTGGTGCTGGATTCGGTTTGCCAGTATTTTATTGAGGATTTTTGCATCAATGTTCATCAGGGATATTGGTCTAAAATTCTCTTTTTTTGTTGTGTCTCTGCCAGGCTTTGGTATCAGGATGATGCTGGCCTCATAAAATGAGTTAGGGAGGATTCCCTCTTTTTCTATTGATTGGAATAATTTCAGAAGGAATGGTACCAGCTCCTCCTTGTACCTCTGGTAGAATTCAGCTGTGAATCCATCTGGTCCTGGACTTTTTTTGTTTGGTAAGCTATTAATTATTGCCTCAATTTCAGAGCCTGTTATTGGTCTCTTCAGAGATTCAACTTCTTCCTGGTTTAGTCTTGGGAGGGTGTATGTGTTGAGGAATTTATCCATTTCTTTTAGATTTTCTAGTTTATTTGTGTAGAGGTGTTTATAGTATTCTCTGATGGTAGTTTGTATTTCTGTGGGATCGGTGGTGATATCCCCTTTATCACTTTTTATTGCATCTATTTGATTCTTCTCTCTTTTCTTCTGTATTAGTCTTGCTAGCGGTCTATCAATTTTGTTGATCTTTTCAAAAAAACAGCTCCTGGATTCATTGATTTTTTGAAGGGTTTTGTGTCTATATTTCCTTCAATTCTGCTTTGATCTTAGTTATTTCTTGCCTTCTAGCTTTTGAATGTGTTTGCTGTTGCTTCTCTAGTTCTTTGTATTGTAATGTTAGGGTGTCAATTTTAGATCTTTCCTGCTTTCTCTTGTGGACATTTAGTGCTATAAATTTCCCTCTACACGCTGCTTTGAATGTGTCCCAGAGATTCTGGTATGTTGTGTCTTTGTTCTCGTTGGTTTCAAAGAACATCTTTATTTCTGCCTTCATTTCGTTATGTACTCAGTAGTCATTCAGGAACAGGTTGCTCAGTTTCCATGTGGTTGAGTGGTTTTGAGTGAGCTTCTTAATCCTGAGTTCTAGTTTGATTGCACTGTGGTCTGAGAGACAGTTTGTTATAATTTCTGTTCTTTTACATTTGCTGAGGAGCGCTTTACTTCCAACTATGTGGTCAGTTTTGGAACAGGTGTGGTGTGGTGCTGAAAAGAATGTATATTCTGTTGATTTGGGGTGGAGAGTTCTGTAGATGTCTATTAGGTCCGCTTGGTGCAGAGCTGAGTTCAATTCCTGGATATCCTTTTAACTTGCTGTCCCGTTGATCTCTCTAATGTTGATAGTGGGGTGTTAAAGTCTCCCATTATTATTGTGTGGGAGTCTAAGTCTCTTTGTAGGTCTCTAAGGACTTGCTTTATGAATCTTGGTGCTCACCAGCAATGGAACAAAGCTGGACAGAGAATGACTTTGACGAGTTGAGAGAAGAAGGCTTCAGATGATCAAACTACTCCGAGCTAAAGGAGGAAGTTCGAACCCATGGCAAAGAAGTTAAAAACCTTGAAAAAAAATTAGACAAATGGCTAACTAGGATAACCAATCCTGAGAAGTCCTTAAAGGACCTGATGGAGCTGAAAACCACGGCACGAGAACTACGTGACGAATGCACAAGCCTCAGTAACCGATTCGATCAACTGGAAGAAAGGGTATCAGTGATGGAAGATCAAATGAATGAAATGAAGCAAGAAGAGAAGTTTAGAGAAAAAAAGAATAAAAAGAAATGAACAAAGCCTCCAAGAAATATGGGACTATGTGAAAAGACCAAATCTACATCTGATTGGTGTACCTGAAAGTGATGAGGAGAATGGAACCAAGCTGGAAAACACTCTGCAGGATATTATCCAGGAGAACTTCGCCAACCTAGCAAGGCAGGCCAACATTCAAATTCAGGAAATACAGAGAACACCACAAAGATACTCCTCGAGAAGAGCAACTCCAAGACACATAATTGTCAGATTCACCAAAGTTGAAATGAAGGAAAAAATGTTAAGGGCAGCCAGAGAGAAAGGTCGGATTACCCAAAAAGGGAAGCCCATCAGACTAACAGCGGATCTCTCGGCAGAAACTCTATAAGCCAGAAGAGAGTAGGGGCCAATATTCAACATTCTTAGAGAAAAGAATTTTCAACCCATAATTTCATATCCAGCCAAACTAAGCTTCATAAGTGAAGGAGACATAAAATCCTTTACAGACAAGCAAATGCTGAGAGATTTTGTCACCACCGGTCCTGCCCTAAAAGAGCTCCTGAAGGAAGCACTAAACATGGAAAGGAACAACTGGTACCAGCCACTGCAAAAACATGCCAAATTGTAAAGACCATCGAGGCTGGGAAGAAACTGCATCAACTAAGGAGCAAAATAACCAGCTAACGTCATAATGACAGGATCAAATTCACACATAACAATATTAACCTTAATGTAAATGGGCTAAATGCTGCAATTAAAAGACACAGACTGGCAAATTGGATAAAGATTCAAGACCCATCAGTGTGCTGTATTCAGGAAACCCATCTCATGTGCAGAGACACACATAGGCTTAAAATAAAGGGATGGAGGAAGATCTACCAAGCAAATGGAAAACAAAAAAAGGCAGGGGTTGCAATCCTAGTCTCTGATAAAACAGAGTTTAAACCAACAAAGATCAAAAGAGACAAAGAAGGCCATTACATAATGTTAAAGGGATCAATTCAACAAGAAGAGCTAACTATCCTAAATATATATGCACCCAATACAGGAGCACCCGGATTCATAAAGCAAATAACAGAATTTCAAAATCAATTTCAGGGCATCACATTCATTCATGCTTTAGAAGGCTCTAAAGCCTAGAGGAGAGAGGTCACCAGAACAGGACAGTGAAGATACAGAGAAAAGGTACAGAGCAATAGAATGAGAGAAGCAATGAGAATTTTGATTAGACTGGTACATAGATCCCGTGAAAGTAATCATGTCTATGCAGTGGCCTCCAAACTGGTGTTGTTACTTTCACATTCTACCCTCTCTCTCTTCTCCTACATAGCACTACAAGAAGAGATGTCCTAAAATTCTGCTTTTTACAATGTGTCCTCTCAAAACGTATTTTCTATGGCTCATGCCCGGAAATTCAAATAACTCTGAAATGATATCCAGGAAATTCCATAATTTCATTTTCCTCATTCATTATGGTAGGAAATATACCTTGAACATCCATTACATGCCCACATTAGGCTAAGCAATGTATAAGGCACAGGGTGTGGATTGACCAGGTACTTTGCTGGGGAGATAGCAATCCCATTACCCTACCTGGATACACCTAAAGCTAAAGTAAAATATAAGGCAGTTTTAAATTAAATACCAAATCATCTGGACTGCCAATAATCACTACAGAAATCAAGCAAACAAATCTGTATACGTTTAAGTAGCAAAGTGAATTTTCCTAAAGAAATAAGTCAGCTTAACTTTATCATTTATACTTATTATAAACGATGTGACAGTTTTCCTAAAGGCCAGTGATGAGCTCAAATTGTTGAGCTCAAATTGTTTCTTTGGCTCAGGAGCAAATGAATAATATTTCTTAGAATTTGACTTGGTTTCTACATAGAAGAGAAATTAAAAGATGGAATTTTAATTCCTAGCTGCAATGAATTCTGAAGATTTCGAGGATTCCAGCTAATTGTCTGCTACTTAATTTCTGGCAGGCATTATGGAGGGCATAATGATTTTTTTTCTATATAGCAAGTTTTATTAGGATATTAAATCAAAAACTTATATTCAACAGTGTGATTCTTTTAAACATTAGTGCTTCCATTAAAGATGAGTGGGCTCAACTACAAGAAAGAAAGTTTTAAAGTACAATAAATTCTCTCTGATCCAAGTATGAACACACATAACAGTTCGGAAATCATCACGATTATTTCTTTAATTCTATGTAAAAATTCTTCCTTATACAATATAAAATATGGATTATTGATTTGGCACTGATGGTTTGAATCCATGTTTTAACATACTCAAACTCCAATTTTCTACAGTAATGAGCAAAAAAATCCAAAGAGAAGTGAAAATAAAAAAATCTTTGCTGAAAATTGAACGTACTATGAATTCACAGTCTAGCCCTTGGGAAGAAAACAACTGCTAACAGGGAATTGGGAATAATTGCCCTGAAACTTAAAAACTCAAAGACATAGAAATTAGGAGCAAAAGGCAGATCCCAAGGCTTTGGACAATGAAAAGCTTGCTGGCACTAGAGCAGCCCATTATTCCCAGCTGACATTTAGAGGGGTCAGTGTGCTAAACAGAAGGGGGAGATGAGGAGGATAATGACAGCTCAAAATAGGCAAGTGCCAGGTGGAGAAGGGGGAGACTGCAGCTGACTCTCGACTTGCCTGAAACCTAAAAATATAAACGTCTTAGATAGAGCAATGTTTTTCCACATTCTATGATTGCTCCCTCTCTGCCATGCAGGCCACCACCTCTTCATGCTAACAACTTAAAGTGTATTTCCCCCATCTTTCTCCAAACTTTCATGCACAGAGGCAATATTTATTTTACAAATATTTAACAATTACATGTAAATGTCAATGGATTCTGATTTTTTCAATCAAGTAGAATGTAAGAATTTAAACTAGGGCAGTTATAACATTAGTGGAATTATAAATCCCATGAATGTTTTCCTCTGTTCTAACTCACAAAGTGGACACATTTTTAACCCAGTTTGACATCAAAGCTTTTTTTGAATAGCAAAGCAATGTTACACGCTGTTGATTGCATCTCTGCATGAGCAAAAATGTGTATATATCCAATGTTGAATTAAAACCCTGCATTTAAAATATCAGAGCAACTGACAGTATTATTCACTAGCCAACTCTAGGTATAGACTTACCTTTATTTATAATATTTGCACATGCCCTAGATATGTCCAAACTAACCGTGGTTTAGGAATAATTTTTACAATCTCCTTCCATTTATTCATCTGTATGATTCAAATTTTCCAAAGTGAGTAGTTAATTTACATTTTTTCAAAAACAGATATACAATATAAATACCAGAAGGAAATCAGCTGTATGTGAAACTATGCTTAGCCATTTCTACAACATTGAAAATGAGAATCAAATTTGGAAGACTTATGTTACAGAACTTTAAGATTTATGATAAAATTACAGTAATCAATATAATGTTGTATTGGCATAACCATAGACAAATAGATTAATGGAGCATGATGGAGAGTACAAAAATAGGCACAAAGATATATGAAAAATTGCTTTTCAACAAAAGGCACCAAAGCAATTGAATGGGGAAAGGAAAGTCTTTACATAAATGGTGGAGAGCAACTGAATATCCATGTGGAAAAACATAAAATTTTACCTGAGCCTCATACCATACATAAAAATTATTTTAAGATGGATCATAAACCTGAACACATGAGCTTAAACTATAAAGCCTTTAGAATACTTCACAGGAAAATATCATTACATCCTATGATTTCTGAGGAGAAAGAAAGCAAAAAATATAAAGTAAGTTAAAAAGATAGCTACTTTTATACAAATTTAAAGTTTCTGTTCATTAAAAGACACTGTTTATAAATGAAAAATAAGACACAGATTGGGAGAAAATGTTTGGGAAACATAAATCTGGGAAAAATACTTCTTCCTTGAAGGTGTAAATAACTCCTCCAAATAAATAATACCAATATTCCCATTTTTTAAATGGGCAAAATGCTAAACAGGAACTTTATATATGACGCTATCTGAATAAACAATTAGTAACAAAGTGCCTAATAACACTAGTCTTGAGGGAAATGCAAATTAAAACCATAATGAGATGCCACTACACATACACTAGAATGACTAAAATGTAATATACTAACAGTACCAAATATTAGCAAGGATACTAATATGTAGCCAGAAGAACACTCATACATTTCTGGTGAAAATATAACATGGTACAATCTCTTTGGAGAAAAGTATGAAAAGTTCTTATCACATTGAACATATTCTTACCTATGAACTCATCCATTCCATTTCTAGACATATAAGTGAAAACGTATGTCCACAAAAAGAGTTATACATGAATGTTTATTAAATTTATTCATAATACCCCAAACTGGAAATAACCATTATCAGGACAAGAGGGAATAAACAAACACAGTCGTGGTCTATCCCTACTGTAGAGTATACTTACCATTGAAAAGGGGAAAATATGATACACAGAACAATGAGGTTGAATCTCAGAGGCATTACACTGAGTGAAATAAGCCAGTGCAAGTAGTGCATACTGCATAATTACATTTAACTGAAGTTCTAGAACAGGCAAAATTAATTGTAGGTGGAAAAAATAAGTGGTTACTTCATTTGCAGGGAATGGAGATTGACTGGGAAGGGACATAAGGGGACTGTCTAGGATGATGTGCATACTCTATATCTTGATAGGGTATGGGTTACATTTGTACATTTCAGTGAAATTTTATTTTAAAAACTATTAAAAAATAACATGGTGGAAATGGGGATATAGACAAAACAAGAATAACAAAATCACTAGATAATTGATAAAGCTGGGTGGTGGGTACACTATTTTGTTTGCTTTATATATGTTTCCATTTTTCTATGTAAAAGTAGAAAAAGAAAGTCTTGGAAGTTTTCTCACAGAGAGAATTACATTTACAAAGTGAATTGTCTAATCTAATTATATCCAATGCCTGGCAATACACACTGATGGTAAGAGAAAACCACATTTCAAAAATTGTAATTCTTCACGTTTGAAAATTTCACATTCCCTGTTTTAACTGCAGAAAAAAAAATCTATTAAAAAATTAGCTCAGAAAGAAGCATTGCACATGAAACTGTGCTCTGATACCATGACAGCCACTTTCCATGGTGTACCGTGTACTTTGATAAAATGGCCACATTTCAGATGTAGCTGAAAAACTAATTTTGCAGTATCGATTATGATAATACAGAAAAGAAAATCACAGGTAAATATGTTTCAACTTTTATAGATCAATATATGAAGTAATAGTAGAATTAGGAAAGAAGCTGTATTTCTGAGATATGGATGACATGAATCAACTCATTTTCAAATTATATTGGAAATATTTTGAATATCTGTGTCTTCCTCATAGTTTATAAAGTAAACCATAGAGTTAGATGTTTTGATGAAATAAATATACAAATTTAATTTAATGAATATTTCTATCCTCTCACATGTTTAGAAATGTTCTCTAACCCTATCATAGTCAACCAAATAGTTTTAAGTTTCTTTTAACCTAATTTTTAAATTATCTTTTCTTATTATTTCTCCCACACATGCTATCCCATTGTCTTCTAGAATTTCAGTTGTTATTTCATCATTATAACTTTTTCCCTTATCCTTTAATAATGTTTCCTTTTTAACAAGTTTTATAATCTACCATACTTGATTTTTTGACAATGATTCCTAATTACATAATGCCCTCCTTTATTCTAGATGATATATATATGCATTCCCTTAACAACAGTTTGCTTTGTCTGCATTTAATCTTCTGTTTCAAATGAGTCTTACCTTGTAAATGTATAGTAATAAAAAAATTTCATATCCCCTTATTCCATGCTAAATAATTGTTTAAAAGCAGGTCATAATTACACGAGTCTCTTGACTGCACTCTCAGTCAGTTGGTAGAAATTATACACTCAATGAATCTGAATGTAATGTAGCCAATTCACTTTCCTAGCAATTTGAACTAAAGTCCCTAAGCCAAATTCAGAGTTACGATGATACAATCCACTCTAGGACAAATACGGCTTCTTATCAAGCTCATCTTTAGACCCAGAGTAACACCCAGAATATATTCCAGAGCAAAAATGAACAGAAAAGGGTGAAAAATATTATTTTTCTTCAAAACTGAAGCACTTTTTGAGATATCACCATCTTACTTCCAAAGCAAAACCACACAAAATCATAATGTGAATTTGTGATAAATGAAACTTGGGATGATTTTAATGTTTAGTTACCAGTGTGTAACTCCCAAATATAACCCTTTTAAAATATAAACAGCAGTGGTTCATAGTTTTCTACCTTCTATTCTCTGTTCTGGCTGGTAAATGCAGGTAGTCCCTGAAAATCTCAAAAATTAGAAAAGGTTTGGAAGCTCTTCAGTTCTCTTATTATGAGGGTGTTCCATTTACAATTTTCCCCATTTCTCCCAACCCATTTACTATTGTGTTTGCGTTGCCATCAATGGGCATGTAAAGGCTTCATAATGAAAATTAACCATTATTCCCGTCCCCTTCCTCATCCTTCTGCACTCCTAATTCTAGGTAGCAGGGGCAATGACTGTTTTTTTATTTATTTTTTTTTTTGAGACGGAGTTTCGCTCTGTCGCCCAGGCTGTGGTGCAGTGGCGCGATCTCGACTCACTGCAAGCTCCGCCTCCCGGGTTCACGCCATTCTCCTGCCTCAGCCTCCCGTGTAGCTGGGACTACAGGCGCGCGCCACCATGCCCGGCTAATTTTTGTATTTTTAGTAGAGACGGGGTTTCACCGTGTTAGCCAGGATGGTCTCGATCTCCTGACCTCGTGATCCGCCCGTCTCGGCCTCCCAAAGTGCTGGGATTACAGGCGTGAGCCACCGCGCCCGGCCTTTTTTTTTATTTCAATAGCTTTGGGAGTACAAGTGGTTTTGGTTACTTGGATTTAAGTTTATGAATTTAAATATCGACTCTACGCTTACATCACACAGTCTTCACACATGAAATTTAAACAAAGTCTTTGGAAATTTCAAGCTGTTGATCTAATTATGCACAGCTAATGGGTTGTATTTTGACAGTTCCTGTAGGTCTACTCTTGCAAATTCTGCACCCAATCTTGGCCATGTTCACTACTCAAATAAGGTCACCATAATTATGCTGCCCTATGTTTCCTTCGCTAATCCATTTATCTTGGGGTTCAAATGTTGCTCACATGGAGGTTTTAATTACAAAGATACATTTCAGTCACTAGAGTAGTCATTTTATAGGCAACATGAAAGCACTTATATATAAGCTTATTTTTAGCCTATAAACCTAAGTGTTGAAGAGCACTTTTAGTCTACTAATTAAGTTTATCCTTTCGTTCTTATTCCAGAGGCTTTAAAGCTATAGGCACCACAATATACAAGTATCCGTATTTTGACTGGTAATACAAGTGAGGAAGATCGATCCTTCTCTTTCAGCTTTATCATTCTTTTGTCAATTTATCCCTAAGTACAAAAGTCACATACTGATATAAAGTCTTCATAATGAAAATTAACCATTACTCCCATCCCCTCACTCATCGTTCTCCACTCCTAATTCTACATTAACAGAGGCAATGACTTTTATATTTTTTTTTATTTCAATAGCTTTGTAGGTACAAGTGGTTTTTGGTTACATGAATGAATTGTAGAGTGGTGAAGTCTGGGATTTTCATGTACCTGTCACCCAAGTCGTGTACATTGTACCCAATAGGTAGATTTTCATACTTCTCTTGCCACTCTGAGTCTCCAATGTCCATTATACTATTCTGTATGCCTTTGTGCGCCCATAGCTTAGCTCCCACTTATAAGTGAGAACATGTAGTATATGGCTTTCCATTCCTGAGTTACTTCACTTAGGATAATGGCCTCTAGTTCCATTCAAGTTGCTGCAAAGATGTAATTTCATTTTTATAGCTAAATAGTATTGCACGGTATATATCTACACCTATATACATACCACATTTTCTTTATCCAGTCATCAATTAATGGGCACTTAGATTGACTTCATATCTTTGCCATTGTGATTTGTGCTGTAATAAACATACGCTTGCAGGTATCTTTTCAATATAATGACTTCTTTTCCTTTGGGTAGATATCCAGTAGTGAGATTTCTGGAACAAATGGTAGATCTACTTATAGTTCTTTGAGAAATCTCCATACTATTTCCCATAGAGGTTGTACTACTTTACATTCCCACCAGTAATGTATAAGCACTCCCTTTTCACCACATCCATACCATCAGCTATTGTTTTTTGATTTTTTAATAATGGCCATTCAGGCTGTGGGGTAAGGTGGTATCTTGGGGTTTTAATTTGCATTTCTCTAATGATTAGTGATGTTGAGCATCTTTTCATGTGTTTTTTGGCCATTCGTATATCTTCTTTTGAGAAATGTCTATTCATGTCATTTGTGCCAACTTTTTAATGGGATTATTTGGTGTCTTGTTTGTTTGTTTTTTGATGAAGACTCGCTCTGTCACCCAGGCTGAAGTGCAATGGCACGATCTCAGCTCACTGCAACCTTCACCACCCGAGTTCAAGGGATTCTCCCACCTTAGCCTCAAAGTAACTGAGATTACAGGTATGTGCCACTACACCTGGCTAATTTTTGTATTTTTAGTAAAGACAGGGTTTCACAATGTTGGTCAGGCTGGTCTTGAACTCCTGACCTCAAATGATCCACCCACCTTGGCCTTCCAAAGTGCTGGGATTACAGGCATGAGCCACCTCGCCCAGCTGGATTATTTGGTCTTTATTCTTGCTTATTTGTTTGAGTGCCTTGTAGAATCCAGACATTAGTCTTTTGTCAGATACATAGTTAGCAAATACTTTTTCCCATTCTGTGGGATGCCTGTTTACTCTGATGACCCAAAGCTAGCAGAAGAAAAGAAGTAACAAAGATTAGAGCAGAAGTAAATGAAATTAAAACCAAAAACTATAGAGCACAAAAGATAAATGAAACTAAAAGTTGGTTTTTTGAAAAGATAAACAAAGTTCATAGACCACTAGCTAGATTAATCAAGAAATGACAGAAGATTCAAATAAGCTCAATAAAAACAAACATGAAGACATTATAACTGACACTACAGAAACACAAAAGATCATCGGAGATTACTATAAACACCTCTGTGCAGGCAAACTAGAAAATCTAGAGGAAATGGATACATTCCTGAAAACATAGAACGCCCCCCTAGCTTAAATCAAAAAGAAATAGAAACTTCTCACAAAAAAAAGAAATAGAAATCCTGAACTGACCAATAACAAGTAGTGAGACTGAATCAGTGATAATTTTAAAATCTGCCAACAAAAAAACAAAGCACAAGACCAGACACATTCACAGCCAAATTCTACTATACACTCAGAGAATTGGTACCAATCCTACTGAAACTATTCCAAAACACTGAGAAGGTGGGAACTCCCTACCCAAACCCATTCTGCAAAGCCAGTATCACCCTGATACAAGGAAAGAACATAACATTAAAAAAAAAAAACTGCACACCAATATACCTGATAAACATAAATGCAAAAATCTTCAACAAAATACTAGCAAAATGAATCTAACAGCATATCAAAAAATTTACCATGATTAAGTGGGTTTTATCCCAGGGATGCAAGGATGGATCAACACATGCAAGTTAATAAATGTGATTCATCCTATAAACAGCATTAAAAACAAAAATAAAATGATTATCTCAATAGATGCAGAAAAAGCATTTGACAAAAGTCAACATCCTTTATGATAAAAAATCCTCAACAAACTAGGCATAGAAGGAACTTACCTCAAAATAATAACAGCCATATATGACAAACCCACAGCCAACATCACACTGAATGCAGACAAGTTGAAAACATTACCCGTAAGAACCAGAATAAGACAAGGATGCCCACCTCCACCACTTATACTCAACATAGTACTGGAAATCCTAGCCAGAGCAATCAGGCAAGAGAAAGAAATAAAGGGCATCCAAACTGGAAAAGAGGCAGTCAACTACCATTGTTTGCCAATGATATGATCTCATACCTAGAAAACCCTAAGACTCCTCCAAGAGACTCCTAGATTTGATAAATGAATTCAGTAAAATCTCATTATAAAATCTACACAAATCAGTAGCAATGCTGTCCATCAACAATGATCAAGCTGAGAATCAAATCAAGAATTAAATTATTTTACAATAGCTGCAAAAAATAACATAAAACACCTAGGAATATACTTAGCCAAGGAAGGAAAATATCTCTACCAGGAGAACTGCAAAACACCGCTAAAAGAAATCATAGATGACACAAACAAATGGAAATACATCTCATGCTCATGAATTGGAAAAATCAATATCATGAAAATCACCATACCCCCAAAGCAATCTACAGATTCAATGCAATTCCTATCAAAATGCCAATGTCATTTTTCACAGAATTAAAAAAATATATTAAAATTCATATGGAACCAAAAAAGAGCCTGAGTAGCCAAAGCAATCCTAAGCAAAAAGAAAAAATCTGGAGGCATCACATTACTCCAGAATTACATTCAAATTCTACTACAAGACTATAGTTACCAAAACAGCATGGTACTGGTATAAAAGTAGGCACATAGACCAAGGGAACAGAACAGAGAACCCAGAAATAAAGCCAAACACTTATAACCAACTGAACTTTGACAAAACACACAAAAACATTAACTGGGGAAAGTGGATAGCCACATGTAGAAACTGGATCCCTATCTCTCACCATATATAAAAATTAAAGATTTAAATCTAAGACCTGAAACCATAAAAATTCTAGAAGAAAACCTAGGAAAAATTCTGGACATTGGCCTAGGCAAAGAATTTATTATTAAGACCCCAAAAGCAAATGCAACAAAAACAAAAATAAATGAATGAAACCTAATTAAACCAAAAAACTTCTGCGTAGCAGTGGAAATAACTTTTCAGCTTGGCTACGTTCAGTTTTCAAGATGGCTTTCTTCATGTTGTGAAATATGGTGTATTTGCAACTCTTTCTGCATATATTGTATTTATATATTCTCCATTTTCTAGCTATGATTTATGTGAGAATTTACCTGATTTATATAATCCCTCACTTCATGTATTTCTTCCTAGTATAATTAATAATTATTTTTTATTTCTTCACTGAACTACAACTTCAAACAATATAACTGAACCTTCATTTATAGTTGTATCCACTTTAAAGCAAACAAAATAAAACAAAGAAATAAAACTCTTGATTCATTATTTGATCACAACAGGAGGAAGACTATCTTAAAAACTAAAACTAGCAAAATGTAAAAATCATTGCTTCTGAATGTAGAATTGAGTAGAGAAGGGTGGCAGGGGCATGGAAAAAATGGTTCCTTTTCATAATTAAGCCTTCCATATTATTGTATGACATTTGAACTTAGAGATAAATGAGGAAAATGATAAAGATGAAAGAGAAGGATCAATTTTCCTTACTTGTATTATCAGCAAATACATTATTTTCTTCATTATAGTGTATATAGTTTCATTTGATCATACGATAATTACATTATAACTGCACATCTCTTCTCCATTTGTCATTCACTTCCCAACTTTTTTCAACTATACCGTTACTTAAATATATTAACATAAAAAGTAGTTAAATTATTAGTATTCAATCTTTCTCAGGTTAAGATTCCCTTCTTTGAATCATTCTGTGTTTTCAGTTCCCTTCATATTCATATCTAGCTTTTCTTGCACATTTCCTATTGACCCCTACACCCCATACACTATTTCTGATTACATTTTATTGCTATTTTGGAGGTAGTCATTGTTTGGGGAAGAAGAATCACATATATTTTCACCATACCTCTGATGTCTTCCAGCTTTTCATCATTCTTTCTGTTTGTATTCATTTCAGCCTTTTTTTTCTTTTTGGACAACTTTAGTATACAAATTTTTTGTCTTTCTTGGATTTTCTGTCTCCTTTACTTCTTTGCTTTCATTCCTTTATCACATTATCAAGAATTCAAATCTCTCAGCTCATCTCCTCTGCAGTCAGGAGACCTCTCTCCTAGAGCCTTCCATCCTCAGCTTCAGCCTGGCTCCTACATCTGGTGCACAGCTATTATACTGAGGCTACCTCTCATGGCTCATAGCTATTATCCTGGGGCTGCTTCTCACCAGTAAACAAAGGCCGATCCACTGTTTCCTATAGCCTCCTCATGTCTTCCTCATGGAGAGAATCTTCCTTCATTTAATGTTAGCTAGCTAATCAGCTAACATTAAAACAATGAGATTATCCTGGAGTATTCCAGTGGACCTGTTGTAATTACAAGAGTCCTTAAAAGTAAAAAAGAGAAACTTGGAAGAGAAAAACAGGGAACGACAGCATGAGAAGGACTCTTCCCAGCATTTCCCACTGGGCCCATGAGCCGAGGAATGTGGGCAGTTTATATAAAATGGAAAAGCCAAGGGAATGAATTCTTCCCTAAAGCCTCCAGAAAGAAGCACAGCCTTGCTGACATCTTGATTTTACCCTACTGAGAGACCTGTGTTGGGTTTCTAACATACAAAATTGTAAGACAATACATCCACACTATTTTAAATCATGAAGTGTGTGGTAATTTGATACAACATCAAAAGAAAATTAGTACAAATTTTGGTACTAATAGTGGGATGCTACTGTAACAAACACGTAAAAATGTGAACATGGCTTTATAATTGGGTAGTGGCCAGAGACTGGAAGAATTTTGAAGAGCATGAGAGAAAAGGCCTGGAGTGCCTTAACAGACCCTACGAGAATTATGGATGATAATCACTCTGCTATTAAGGATTCACAAGGAAGTGAGGAACATGGTTGGTAAAGAGACATATCACTTCAGAGAATACTAAACTGTCAGCAGACTGCTGGTGGAAATGCAGACACTGAAGGAACTGCGGGTGAGGACTCAGAGGAAATGAGCACCTAGATCGGAAATCCTCAGCTCTTTCATCATTCTCTTTATTACGTTTTCTTTGTTTTCTATAGATAGAACACAATGTATTCCTGAATTTTTGTAGACAGTTAAACATGTTGGGGGTTGGGGGAGGTTGGCTGTCGGTTTAATTGTGCTTCCCTCCGTATTTTTTTCTTTTGTTATTTCATTAATCTGCAGGCTCTCTTTAAATGTCTGGATGAGGAAATCCTTTTCACATAGTGGCTTAGTAGAATTGTGTCCTGCAGTTAGGTAGAAAGCAGAAATTGTGAGTAACAAACTTGGATATTTAGTTCAACAGATTTCCAAGCAAAGTGTTGAAGGTGTGAATAGGTTTCTTTCTGTTCATCTTAAAATGTGAGAGGAAAGAGATAATTGAGGAAGAACTGTTAAACAAAAAAGAACCAGGACTTGACATTTTAGGAAATTCTTTGTCTAATCATATTTCAAAAGATGCTAAAATTAAGAGATTCACTCTCTGAAAAACATGCTTTAGAGAAAAAAGTGAGTGTGTTACTGAAAATCCTTTCGCTAATACTTCAGAGAAATCACTATGTCAAAGTATTCAGTCACACTCAAGTCTCTTTGAGAAGATTAAGCATGGGATTCATAAATCCACTCAACCATCTAAGCAGACATCAGGAATAGAGATGGGATTATCCAGGAAAGATCAGGGAGGAGGAGATCTGGACTATTGAAGTAAATCCCAAAACCTAAGATACCTACAAGGCTCTGGAGAATGTTAGCCTGCAGAAATTGCCAGCTTGAACAGCAAAGGACAGAGAGAGGGTGAAATTTTGAAAGACTATCTTTTTTATTAATAGTAGCAGTGTTATGCTTCAAATTGTCCTGAAACCTAGTTTATTTATTGACCCATGTCTACAGATTCCAGGTTCAATATTTTTGGCAAAACTCTTCGTAGGTGGTATAGCAGCAATTGATGATTATTGCCTATATCCTTTAATTCATTAGGAGTTGTGAAGCAGAATGATATTCTGATTCCATCATTTCATCACTTACTAGTTTTATTGTTTACTGCTACTAAAATATAATTTTCAGGCTGGGCGTGGTGGCTCATGCCTATAATTCTAGCACTTTGGGATGCCAAGGTGGGTGGATCACCTGAGGTCAGGAGTTTGAGACCAGCCTGGCCAACATGGTGAAACCCCGTCTCTACTAAAAGTACAAAAATTAGCTGGGCATGGTGTCACATGGCTGTAATCCCAGCTACTCTGGGAACAGAAGGAGGAGAATCACTTGAACCCAGGAGGCAGAGGTTCCAGTGAGCCAAGATTGCGCCAGTGTACTCCATCCTGGGCAATAGAGCCAGATTCCATCTAAAATATATATATATATAATTTTCAAAAATGTAAAACCATGACTGTCATGTAAATTTAACATACACACATTTATAGAATTTAACTCACTAATTAATGAGGAAAACAGCAAAATATTAAGCGTGGTTCAAAGTACATTTTGAGATATTAAGACTTCATTGTAAATTTAATAAAATAATAGTAGAGTCAGTTTGCTAGATTATAAACCAAACTGGCCGGTGTCTTATCTTTGAGGTTATCTTTTCCACTGAACAGAAACTTCTTATTTACTACACAAAAAATCTACAGGATAATATGCAATTCCACTAAGCCTGAAATCTTTAATCAGAGTTTTAATATTTAAATCTGTTTATCATCTTAAAGGCAAACTTCCCCTTATCAGTGTTTTTTTCTTTGAGACAGAGTCTCACTCTATCACCTACGCTGGAGTGCAGTTGCAAAATCTCAGCTCACTGCAACCTCCACCTCCCAGGTTCAAGCCATCCACCAGTCTCAGCAGCCCAAGTATCTAGGATTATAGGCATGCACCACCCCACCCAGCTAATTTTTGTATTTTCACTAAAGACGGGGTTTCACCATGTTGCCCAAGCTGGTCTCAAACCCTTGGACTCAAGCAATCCTCCCGCTTCCGCCTCCCTAAGTGTTGGGATTACAGGAGTGAGTCACCATGCCCGGCCATGAATCAATTTTTAAATATCAATTTTTTTATTAGTCACCTTGGCCCTTGTGTGCAGATAATTAAAACTAGCATATAGAAAATAGAAATTTTATTCTATAAATTGCATCATCCCTGTTAGCTTTCTAATTCAAGTCCCATAGGAAGACACTTCACTAATGTAACACTGAATTTGGTTTTGAAGTTAATCATTTACACAGCAATAGCTCATTTTGCAAAATAATTTAATTACAGAAATGTAGCACACACAAGTGTTTGTGTAACAATATCTTCAGAAAAAGTGATATTTCCACTGAGCTGAAAAACTTGTCAATTAAAACTCAAGAAAATAAGTTATTGAAAATTTTTACTTACGTAAATTAATTACTAGTTATTTTAAAATACTTTTAATGACATGGAGAGGTAAGAACTTTAAGGCCGTGAAAAATAATCTACAGTTGCTATCTTTACCTGAAAGTCTTCTCTAAATTAATTGCAATTACTAGAACTATGTTGCTGAAATCCATTTGGGCTCCCCCTACAGGTGACTTTTTTTGTTTCTCTTTTTTTTTAATTGTTTGGGATGGACTGATAGGTAGTGCCCCTCACCACCCCTCCTTTAAATCATTATATTTATGAATTTTTTCTGAGGAATTGATACAGAATGGCTGGGCTCCTGGCTAAACCCTACCCTTAAGCCCAGAACCGTGGCTCTAAGTGAAAACAGCTGGCCTTGTTTTTCTGCCCAAATGTCACCTTTTTGGCCTGCCGCACCCCTATCCTGTGCCCATAAAAAGACCTCAGCTAGCAGAGCCACACAAGCAGCTGATGCAAGCGGTCAGGGATACAAGTTGCTGAGCGTTGGGGATACAAGCAGCTGAGTGGCAAGCAGAGAAGCAGCAACTAAAGTCAAAGACTATGGGTAAACGTGGCTAACTTCAGACAGTGCAGCTTCAGGGAAAGACCACGTTCTTCCCGCACCATCCCCTTTCCACCTCTGGTAACACAGGTCTCCTAAGGTGAGCTCAGGGAGTTCAGAAACCTCCCGTGGAGCATAAAGGCAAAAGCTCACTTAATCTTGATTTTCATTACTAATACAGACCACGAAAGTGAGGCCTCACAATCCTTCTGACTTTTGGGTTTTAAGCAGGAGGTGCCCCCATCCCACTGAGAGCCATCACCCAATAAAATCCTTCACATACACTACCCTTCAATTTGTATGAACTGATTCTTCCTGGACACAGGACAAGAATGCCAGTGCCCAGAGGGCAGGGGCTTGGACGCTGCTGTGGGGCCCGCACAGAGCCTGCTCCCACCAGACAGGAGCAACTGGCCACTTCCAGTGTTCATTCCCTCTGGTTCCCACACTTGCTTGCTCACACGCTCCCTTTCGCAAGGAGTGGTCAGCTGCGGGCTGAGTGAAAGGAGACATTCCAGTTCCCACCCATGAAGGGGGTCAAGGGAACAATCCCATCTTAGAATCACTAAGTTGGTTTCCTTCAGTTATTTTTTTCTCTGATGTGGAAACTTGTACTTCTTTGGGTAAATAAGTTTTAACTTTCTTTCCTGACACTTGAATTCTGTGGGAGTATACAGTGTAGATAGACAATATACAGGATATTAAGCTGTGAAGGTGCAAGTGTGTCCAATTCTTAATTGTAAATTGTCTTCTGAGATGGTCACAGTTGAGTTTCAGGTGACTGAGGACAGCTGAAATACATGTAATTATAAAGCCATTATCATTTGAGGAATGTCATTTTAATATACCTTTTTAGGGTTTTTAATTCACATAAAAATATTTGTGTATATACATATATTTTTTCTAAATTTTAATAATCTACACTGAAAGCATTAATTTCTCAAAACCTTAAAGAGCAGTCTATTTATTCTCACCCTATAGTTCCTTAACTTAGTTTCCAGAAGATCACAATTTTCTGGAATTCCTTTTACCTCTTGGGTAATTTCTTCTCATTCTCTTTTGCAGGTTTCTCTTCATTCACTTAATCTCTGAATATTCAGCTACTCTAGGGGTCAGTCTTTGTATCTCTTCTTTTCTCTTTTCTATCTACACTCAATCACTTAGCGATCATATTCCATATCAAGACTTAAATACCATCACTACAGATAACTTCCAATTTTATATCTCTAGCTCAGTTTCTCCGAATTTCAAAAGACTGTATCCAAAAGGAAACTCCATCATTCAGGTTTCTCAGGTCAAAAATGTAGGCATCACTTAGATGTTTTTAAATATCATTTCACATTTCATTCATTAATAAATACAGTAGGTTCTGACTTCAAAACAGGTCAATAATTCAATCATTTCTCACCAATTCCACTGCTATCCCCCTGAAACAAGTCACCATTATCTTTCCTAGAATACTGCATAGTCTTCTATCTGATGCATGAGGTAATTCCAGGCAGGAAATAGATGGCAAATATGACTAATTAAGAAGGATTTAATAAAGAGACCATTTACAATGTTGTAAGCATATATTAGAAAATCAATAAGGGATTGTGTGGTCCCCAGTGCTGGCACTTTCAAAGAGACGTTGCGTTTTGGACTCAAAGAGTCATGAGACGGCTGCTGGAAGGGACTGTGGTGCTAGCTGATGGACACACAATCCTCAGGAACCTGGAGGGACAGAGGGAAAAGGTAATAAGGACATAAATTTCACTCTCCTCCCAATCTCCCTTGTGAGTGCCTCTCATTAGTTGAACACAACTGCAAGCTGGAGTTTAAAGAAGCCAATTAGTAGTTAATATATATCATACAGGTTGGCCTTCTGAGGCGCAGAGCAGGAAGAAGAGGGAGAGCAAGTGACCTCCTCTGCTGTCCTCCCTTGCTCCTGCCTTGCTCTTTTGTTAAAATCTATTTTTACCACACAGTCAGAGTCATTTTGTTAAAACGTAAGACAGACTGTGTCAGGTAGCTGCCTAAAAGCTTCCAATGATTTTCTTTCTCTGTCACAGAACAGTCTAAGTCCTTAAAGTGGCCTACAAGGCCCCGCATCCATGCTTCTGCCACTCTCCTGGCCCCATCTTCTATTACTCTCCCCTCTTACTATGCACTTTCCTTGAGTTCCACCAGCCAGACTCCTGCTTTGGGACCTTTATTGTTTTCCTTCCTTCTGCTTGCAATCTGCTCCCCCTGAGTCCCTGCAACTGGCTTGAGGCTTCACTCACATGTCACGCTCTCCGCGAGGCCTTTCCCATCCATCCTAATGGAACACCTGCCTTCACATCACGCCCTAACTCCTTTTTCTCCAGAGAAAAATTCTACATTCTGTTCTAGTTCTTCCTTCCATTTTATTTATATTTTATGTTGTATAACTTAAACATATGTTTTATTTGATATTTTGTTTAGCATACGCTCCATGAGGATGAGGATTGTCTTTCTCTTTGCTTCCCTGTTTCTTCCCCAGTGCCTAGATTAGTGCTAGCACAAGGTAGACCCCATAAATACTTGTTTAGTGAATGAACAGCACCATAAAAGGATAAGATCTATCCTCTTTCCTCAGTATTTTCCTATGTTAAAATACTTGATATTGTATGAATGCTGCAAGTTGCTCCATTTTCAACATGCACTGAAACAAACAACCGGTGCATCCTTGCCTCAATCTTGCTCTTTGTGATTGCTAGGTAAGGCAGCATATGTAACACTGCAGCTTATTGATGGATAATAATCAGATACTTAAGCACAAAGTAGCAGGAGAAGGAAAGCTGGCCCTCACCATATAATTTCAATTAGTAGTCGTGAGATTTGCAATGTCCTCTGGAAGGAGATTGGCCCTTAGCTATTTAAATTCCATGTGTACAACTAATAGACTAATAGTAAACTGCTGGAGAGTGTATCTGATGTGGGTAGTGATATACGGAATTAGTGGGAAAATATGTTCCATCACTTCAAACATTATCCTATGCTCTGGGGACTTACACTCTATCAGCAGCAAAATCAAAAACAAGTTACAGTGCCTGGCATGTTGTTCTGTCTCTCTTTTGCAAGCCAATTTGCCTCCTCTTTGGGAAGATGATCATGGCATTTGTTTATCTTCAGATGCTGTTTTATAAATGTTGCTCAAATAAACTCAAGTAATTTCAATTTAGAAATGCAAGTAAGAGTGATGATCACCTAAGCATGGTATTTAGGCTTAAGTAAAAATCCTCTGCTTTGCATTCCCCATCTGTACAAAACTATTTTAAAATGTAAAGAGAGATTAGATTAGATGTCCTCAAATAATATCAGGGTAGAAGAGTGAAATATTTCAGCATATAGCATTTCATTTTGAAAATGTTCCTCAGTTTGAAAACATAATTACAATTATAAATAAAATGTGCTCAAATTGTGTGTTGAAAGTAAATTCATGTTTTAAATATATTTGCTAATTACTACAGCAAACATTGTCATTTAAATGAGACTTCATTTAAGAAATGAAAAAGGCAAATAATATAGTATTCCTTTATCAAGTAATCAAACACAGTTTCCTAGAAGTAATGAGGTTTGTATACTTGTTTCCAATAAACCCATCTTAATTATTGATTTACTATCGCCTCTCCACCTACTTATCAGTGTAATCCACGTCTTTGATCTCTAAGTATAACTCCTTAAATCCTGAAAGCAGAGAAATAGAAAACATCTCAAACATTTCTGAACTGCTTAAAGGAAATATTCCAGATATAAAACACTAAACGAATCTGGTATGTGATAACAGGAAAATACTCAGGCATTAGTTAAGGTCAAATGACCTATTTGGATATATACACCAATTACTTGAGAAATTCTGAAACTAAAGAACTTGTCAACCATTTCAAATTCACACACACACACACACACACAAGCACACACACGCAAGAATATATTACAGAATATAAAAATGTATCCTCATGAAAACTGACTAAATCACAATCTTACTCTGAAATACATGCATAAAAATATTTGTTTTGGTGATCAAAGCATCAAAGTTTTCTTAGCCAAAATAAATTCAGAATGGATTAACTTTAATCTGGTCAGGATAATAACACTGAATAAATTCTATTTAGAGTCCAAATGTTCATTGGTACTAAATCCAGCTTTACTGCCCCTTGTCTTTCCCATTTCCTGGGGTGGCTGTTTAATTGTTAAAACCCTGCCTAAGTTCCCTGCTTACTTCACCTCACTAATTTTCAGCAGAGAAAATCTACGTAACTTAAAAGGACCTTCCTACTTTCTTTGTTTTCAGCTACTAATTTCTGTTGATCCTTGAGCCATCTTTTAAGTGTTTAAACTTAGCAGCTCCAGGCTGAGAATGCCTGTTTTGTACCCTATTTCTACCTCCACTTTTTAGTTGTGTACCTCAGTTTCCCCATCTAACAAATGAGAGCTGCCATCAGGTTTCAATGGATCTGACACATAGTTCTTGCTCAATCAATTCAAATACTTGAATGGTGAAGGAACACTCCCTTGAGTCTGAAGTCTTACCCAACACCAAGCTTCACTAAGGATTAGTAAAGTAGACCTACAACAAATAGAATTTCTCTCTGGAAGGACCTTGAGCTATCAGTTGCAGCTTCCAAAAAGTTCCTATATTGGAATATGTTTTCATTTCAGAGTAAGAGTTGAGCACTACATATCTATGTAGTCAAATCTCAGAGAAAGCGATTTAGTGTTGTGGTTTCCTGGTTTTGAACTTGGCTAGTTGCTGAGGTGACTTCTATTCTTGAGTTAACTGAGTCTCATAATAATGTGAAGCCCACCAGCATGTGCCACTATGTGGTCTTCTGGCGCTGGTGCTCCCCGTTCTTCCTGATATCACACCAGTCGCCCAAGTCTCTGCATTCTTTTTCCTACTCAAGCCTCACACTCAGCACCCATGCGTAATGGCAGACATCTCAGCTTATTGCCACTTGACCCAAGTGGAAAGGGTTGGAAGAGATTTTGACCCACCTGGATGTTCCCACTGTAGTACACCAGCCAATTCCCTGTGGCACCTGTGCCAAGTTTCTTCTGCCATTTGCACATTTGGAGCATTCTGGGATTTGCCCTCACATTTGAACCAATCTTCCCCTTGCCACATCTTGACAGTTTTTTTTCCCCCCTTGTTCAAATAATCTCACAAGTGTTTCATATTCTAGCAATGGAAGAGAAGGAGGCCTTGCCAACTTATTTTATAAAGCATTTATGTTATTAGTCCGTTTTCACACTGCTGATAAAGACATACTCGAGACTGGGCAATTTACAAAAGAAAGAGGTTTAACTGTACTTACAGTTCCACATGGCTGGGGAAGCCTCACAATCATGGCAGAAGGCAAGGAGGAGCAAGTCACATCTTACATGGATGGCAGCAGGAAAAGAGAGAGAGCTTGTGCAGGGGAATTCCTTTTTTTAAAACCATCAGATCTCAGCCAGGCATGGTGGTTCATGCTTGTAATCCCAGCACTTTGGGAGTCCGAGACAGGTGGATCACAAGGTCAAGAGATCGAGACCATCCTGGCCAACATGGTGAAACTCTGTCTGTCCTAAAAATACAAAAATTAGTTGGGTGTGGTGCCACACTCCTGTAGTCCCAGCTACTCAGGAGGCTGAGACAGGAGGATTGCTTTAACCTGGGAGGTGGAGGTTGCAGTAAGCCGAGATCACACTACTGCACTCCAGCCTGGTGACAGAGCGAGACTCCATCTCAAAAAAACAAAACAAAACAAAACAAAAAAAAACCATCAGGTTTCATAAGATTTATTCACTATCATGAGAACAGCATGGGAAAGACTTGCCCCCATGATTCAATTACTTCCCACCAGGTCCCTCCCACAACATGTGGGAATTCAAGATGAGATTTGGGTGGGGACACAGCTAAGCCTTATCAATTTATATAAAAGAATTTCCATCCAATTAATTGATATATCCATGATATGGTCTGGCTCTGTGTCTCCACTGAAATCTCATCTTGAATTGTAATCCAAATTGTAATCCCCAGATGTTGGGGGAGGGACCTCACGGGAGGTGATTAGATCATGGAGGCAGTTCCCTCATGCTGTTCTCATGATCATGAGTGAGTTCTCATGAGAGCTGATGGTTTTATAAGGGGCTTTCCCCGCTTTTGCACATTCTTCTCCTTCTGGTCATCATGTGAAGAAGGATATTTTTGCTTCCACTTCCACCATGATTCTAAGTTTCCTGAGGGCTTGCCAACCATGCAGAACTCCATAAGTCAATTAAACCTCTTTTCTTTATAAATTACCCAGTGTTGGGTGTATCCTTATAGCAGCCTGAGAACAAATTAATACAGTCCACAAAGTTCAGTACCTGAGGAAAAAAAGCAATGTTAAGTATAAACATTGTTGTGAGGTTCTACAAGAAAGAAGACAGGTTGGACTAAAACTATCCTCATGAGGGATGATACCAGCATTTTTTAAAATTTTAAATCACCTTGATTGTTATAATGAAGCTAAGTTCTAAATATTGGTTATCTTTTAAAGGAGCCTTTTATTTTCTGTGTATCTTTTCATTGAAATTAGTTTTTTTAAAATTATTGGTTATCTCAGCCTTAGCTCACTTTGAGTAAGTCCTAATTTTATTTTACATAGGTTAAGTTGAAACCATGTCTAACCAATTTCATTTGTCTCACCAATTCCATTTGTCTCATTCTTTAGAAATTACCATTCATTTGATTTTGATATTCATATTCTCATGCATCTTTTATATATTTACTACAAATGCAATTTCCATAGATACTGTGAAATATTATTTTATATGTTTTTACACCTTACCTAAAGGTATATTATTTTAAGTACAATTTTGCAGCCACATTTTATATTCAAAATTATGTCTGTGATTTTCCTAGTGTCATTTATAGCCAACATTTATTCATTTCCAGTACTGTATAATATTTTATTGCATTAACCTTCAAAACTTAATGCTGTGTGATATGGAGGTTGCTTCCAGTTTTGCACTATTGTAAACAATATTGCAATTAACATTTTTGTACAAGACTCTGAATATAAAATCAAATTTTCTTTAGTGTTATACTAGTTAGTGGGAGTGTATTCATATTTTCAACTTTATTAATTAATGACAAATTGCTTTGCAACATGGTAGAAACAACATATCTTCATCCACCTCAGCATTGAATGAGCATTCCTATTTTTCAACAAGCTCATCAACAGTCATTACTGTCAGATTTGGTTTTCTTTCTATTTTTTCTACTTACTCCTAACCAACAGGTTTGAAATGATATTTCATGGTTTTATAAATCTTGATCATTATTAATCTTGGGGCTCTCTTCTACACTGGAAATTGTAATTGATAATATAATTAATTGATATTTAAAAATTTAATTTTCATGTTCACAGCTGTTTTTATGTTCCACACTTTCTCTGTGTTTAATATTTCTGCTAGTGAAAAATATTTGAGTGGTACACTGTTAATCGTCACATGTCTAGAAATGTTCCTATTTTAACCTAATTCTTGAATTCCAGTTTATGGGAGTATAGAAGGACAGGTTAACAGTTTTTAGACATGTTTAATATGCCTCTCCATTTTCTTTTGACATTTATTTTATTGAGAGGTCTGTTCTAAATCTAATTGTCATTTTTGGTAGATGATCTGATTTTCATGTGTAATAACTTTAAGGTTTTCTTTTTTCTTATCCTTGATATTATTGTCTACTTTTATGTGCCAAGCATTTTTTGAAACATATATTTTAATTCATATAAGAAGCCTCTGTACTTGTACAGATATTCTGCAGCTCCAATGATATCCATCTTATTACATTTATTTTTATTTTTCCTGCCTGTAACTTGAAGGATATCTTCCCCAAGAACGTCGGTCTTTCTTGAATTATGGAAAAGTCTCACTCTATTCCTCTAACATTTTTATTTTTATCAAATTTCTAGCCTGAACAACATAGTGAGACCCCAATCTCTACAAAAAAAAAAATACAAAAATTAGCTGGGCATGGTGATACATGCCTGTAGTCCCAGCTACTCAGGAGGCTGAGGCAAGGGGATTCTTGAACCCAGGAGGTCGAGGCTGTGGTGAGCTGTGATTGTGCCACTGCACTCCAGCCTGGGTGACAGAATGAGAACCTGTCTCAAAAAAAAAAAAAAAAAGAAAAAAAAAAAAGAAAAAATTTATGCCATTATCTAATTTAAGACCGTTAAATAGTAATGCAGTTTCCTAGGAAAGTAACAGTTGCCATCATTGCTCTCCCATGTCTTTCTTTTCAGAGAAAACCACATTTCCCTCTCCTAGCAGATAATTTTAGTATTTGCCTCCACACCGCTCAATAAAATGCTCATATTGCTACTTATTTTTTCAGTGTTAAGCATTATCAATATTGACTTATCATTACAGAGAGTGAAAATTTAGCTTTCCTTCCTCTTTCTGCCTTCGTGACACACATGCACATAGTCTTTTGTGGAAGACACACTCTGATATGGTTTCGCTGTGTCTCCACCCAAATCTCATCTTGAATTGTAACTCCCACAATTCCCATGTGTCATGAGGGGAACCCAGTAGTGGGTGATTGAATTATGGTGGTGGCTCTTTCCCACACTGTTCTTGTAGTAGTGAATAAGTCTCACGAGATCTAATGGTTTCATAAGGGGAAACCTGTTTTGCTTGGCTCTCATTCTCTCTCTTGCCACCGCCATGTGAGATGTGACTTTCACCTTCTGCCACGATTGTGAGGCCTCCCCAGCCATGTGGAACTTTAAGTCCAATAAACCTCTTTCTTTTGTAAATTGCACAGTCTCAGTTATGTCTTTATCAACAGTGTGAAAATGGACTAACACCCTAAAGCAACCCCCTATGAGTTACACTATTACATAATCTCACCCCAAGTGGAAGAAGAACACTTGTGGCTTTCTTCTAGCCCATAGATTATGACAAAGGTGAAAGATTTTTGCAAAGGTGACTAAGGCCCAAAAAAATGAATTTGGGGAGAATATCTTGGGTAGGCTTGATTTATCATGTGAAATTGTTTACAAGAGGGAATGGGGCACTCCCTGAGGTCAAAGATTCTTTCCTAATGACCTTGAAGAAACAAGCCACCGTGAATTCTACAGCCACAAGGAAATGAACTCTTCCAACAACCTGAGGGAATTTGGAAGTGGGTCTTTCCTCAGATGACCAGGCAGCCCAGCCAACACCTTAAATGAAGCTTTGTGAGAATCTAACCAAAGGTTCTTGATAAGCTGAGCTTGGACTCCTACCCAACGAAAACTGTGAGATAATAAGTGGTGTTATCTTAAGCTGCCAAATTTGTGGTACTTTGTTATAAGCAGTAGAAAACTAGTACCCTTCTCCTTCTCAACCTCCCCAATAGCTACAATTTTTGTCTCATAAGTTTTGAGCATTCATATGCTTATGACTGGCACATGCTTTTCACATCAGGTAACTATGGCTACTTTTCTTTAGCACAGAGGAAGGGACCCCTTTTTTCAATATGTCTTTCTCAGTTGATCTATTTTTCTCTCCTGACATTGAAATATATTAAATATTCGATTAGTTTCATTATTCTGAGTCCATTCCAGAGTTTTCTGGTTTGAACTCATTTGAATTTTTTACTCTGTTTTCCTAGTACACAGCTTACATGCTGTAACCTGTCTTCACAATCATCCTGTGGATTCTCTGTCTTCTGTGTTTCAGATGCTGTTTCCTAAGTCACATTTATTCCTCTTTCTTGGTGTACTCCCTTGTTTGGTGGATTATGTCTTCTAGGAGCTTCATGTCTTTATTTTCCTACTAACACTATTGACATTTTGTTTGGGTATATAATTGTAGTTAAGAGATAAATTTCTTTCAGAATGTTGAAGTCATTGTCTAGATAACTTCCAGTGTTGCTATAGGGAAAAACAAAGGTATTCCAATTTGTACTTCTCTGTGTGCAGCCTATTTTTTCCTACCTGAAAGTTGGGAAACTTCTCTTAGTCTACAGTATTTGACATTTCAAATGGATGTGCTTTGGATAGTTTATACCAGGATGACTTGCTTTTGCTTTTGTGTCTATTTATACCTACCTTCTGTTTGTTTTCTCTTTTTATATTTTATTCATTATTGTTATATATTTATACTAAAGGAGGTATATCAAAGCATGAACTCTCCACAGCATCTAGACTGAAATAAATTTATTTACAAAGTCAAAAACAAAACACTAAATTAAATACCAGCACATTTAAAGCTTTGAAATATATTCTTATTATGAGGCAAATGAAACCTAAAAGCATTAAACATTTAAAATCTGAATTTGCACAAAATATTTTCTCACTATACAAAAACCTCTACTTGTCTATTGAAATATACTCTTACTCAGATTTTCAATTTCTTTAAATCTAAATGAGGAAATTAGACTCTATATTGATAAACTTATTAGGTAAGTTTAAAAATACTTCATGGAATTTTCCGCTTTAAGAGTTTCAATTAAATTTTTAAAAAATGTCTCTTGAGTGCATGGATAGAGAAAGAGTTTTAATCTTTATGAAAGTACTAAGAATAGAACAATTTCAGAAAGAACAATAAAAATTTAAATCATGGTCTATATTTGTCAAAGAGAAATTAACAATACACATGACTTTGCTAAAGAGATTTTTTTAATATCCCAGAATATTATAGTCTATTCTTTCCATTTGTTTCTGGGACGCTAAATACTTGATAATAAGAGACAAAATTCTCATTTAATTGACATCTTAGAAAAATAGGACGTTTAATATTCATTCTTCCTCCAAAACAAATAATTATATAAGAAGGTTTTTAAATAGTGTTTTGCTTTTCACAGAGAGCAAAAGTATTTATACAATAAGGACATTGTAAAAATAATGTGCAAAAGTGTAATGAGTCCTTTCTGTTATTAATTTGTACTTGTAAAATAATTGTAATAAAATTATGTATGGATTAATTATATCAAAGCCATGAGAATGAATGGAAATTCAAGAAATAAAAATAAACAGTTGCTAGAATTCAGAACAATTAACTTTTTCTTTTGAGACATCAAGGAATTTGGCTTAGAATGGCTTTAACTATTAAAGTTAACTTTTATTTCTATATCCATAATATTATCCAACTCTGTGACTTTTTCCAAAAACCAATATAAAAGCATTTTGCATGTAAAGTAGTAAAGCATATAACATGTACCATTAAGTTTCTATTATTTGGGCCAAGCACTTTTCCTCCTCTTTGTTTTAATCCATATTACTCTGTGGTTTTAAAGAAGAGGAAACTGAGGGTCAGGAAAGTTAAGTGTTGACAAAGACTATCTGATTTGACCAAAATTTTAGTCAGGATCCTCTGACTAGGCTTCACCAGGCTCAGCCTTGGGCTTTCCTCTCTGTCCTCATGAATCCAGTTTGAGCAGGAATCCTGCTAAGTGGGTTTATTAAAATCTCCTTCCCTCGATATCTGACCACACAAGCATAATCCTATCAAGTCAATTTAGCCATAAACCTCTTATCCTTCATGTTACCTCTTAGTGATTTTCCATCCACTGACCACCTCCCTGCTCCTTGATTATAAATTCTCACTTGTCTTTTTTGGAGTTAGAGTTGGGTCCAATCTCTCTGCCCTACTGCAAGACGTTGTTGGGATGGTCCCTATACCTAATGATTTAGTCCTTTAATAACACCTGCCTTGCCATCTTTAGCAAGTATCATAGATAATTTCTCTTCCTTACAGTACATTGTTCAGCTCTGTACAGCTGGTAAATAGTAGATGTGAATACAGCATAAGTCTAACACCCAAACATCTATATCCTACTCCATCCAACTGTTTTTTCTCAGATATCTTCATAAACTAATTTCAGTGGATCTATGGTCAACTCTACTGACAAAAGAGATAGCAAGAATAATTGCTTCAGAGTTTCCACATGATTTTCAAGAATATGAAAACTGGCCTATAAAGCACAAGCCCGCATCCTCTCCCTTTCCGTCTTGAAGCTCACGGGTAGGCAGGTATCTCATTCAATCATAAAGTAAAGTGGAGTTCCCACAAGGTTTTTGTTTCTGTAGCAGTCCCAGATCCTGGTTGGTATGATTGTCTGTTACAGGAGGAAAAACCCAGGATAGTTGCTGTAAGAAAGCTTTGGTTTTCCTAAGTTTTGCATCTGCCCCTAAAAAGTAAGTGCAGGGCAGCTTAGTATGCCCCACTAGTGGTCCCATTGATACCTATGTAGTCCTATTGCTATTACCCATCCTTCCCCAACACAGCTCCCAGAAAAAGTCTGGTCTCTTCATTCCCAGAAGTCATCAGAACTTTAACTTGGAAAGCAATTGACTTTGTCACCCTAAACTAAGGTCTATTTATATGAAAATTGCAGGCAGTTTTGCATGTTTATTTTTTTCATGCTACTAATTTCCCCACCTTGCAAAGCTAAGTGAAATAGACGCCCTGGAGAGGCAGCAGTCTGTTTGGTTTTTCTTATCATATGATGACTAACCTTTGCAGAAAAGTTAAAAGTTTTTAAAAATTAAGTATCTATTAATCTAGAAAAAGCACAGAAAAATGTGTTCTCCTTTGAAGGCATAAGAGTGAAATGACCCCTTTTCTTATTGTTTAGTAACATGAGTGTGAGCAATGCCGCATAAGGCAGATGACTTTGTCTGCTCTTCCCTTGTAAATCAATTACAGAGTGGGGAGAGAGCAGTACTTCAGGCTATGCTAATTTGATTCTGCAAACTCCTTCAGCCTTATGTCAAAGTTCAATAGCTCTTAGGATCAGAACAATTTCACTCATACAAAATTTAACTTCACTTCTTTTTATGTTTCTTAGTGGAGAAGCTGTTACCTTCAGTAGAATCTCTTTCTATTTGAAAAAATATTTATTGTTACTTATTTTACTGTTCTCTTCTTTAAGCTGAATGTGCTTAAAATCTTTATTTTAATATGTTACATAGTCAAGAACACAATTCAGTAACTTTGAAAACATAAAGATATTCTAAAGCACAAAGGTATATTTAAGATGCCCCCCTAAATATCTCCCATTCCACATGCTCTTCTACGTAAGCTTGCCAGTCTTTCCATTAAAAAGTGCTATCTATGCCCCCTCCACTTGAATCTGGGAAGGCTTGTGACTGCTTCAATCTATGGAGCACAGAGGAAGAGACTGTGTGGCTTCCAAGATCGTGTCATATGATGTGATGCAACTTCTACCTTGTTCCCTGGAATACTCATACTTGGAGCTCTGGGTTACCATGCATATAGTGTGACTACCTAGAGTGGCCATCTTATGAGGAAATGAAGACACACAGAGAGGTCATATGTAGACTCTCAGGTCCAATCTTCCAGTCATCCCAAATCAAGAACCAGACACATGAGTGAGTCTTCAGATGACTCCAGCCCCCAAGCCTTCGAGATCCTATGCATCATAGAGCAGAAATAAGCCATCCCCAGTGTACCATGTCCAAATTCCTGATCTGATTCACAGCAACTGTGAACATAATAAAATAGTCGTTGTTGTACAACACTTAGTTTTGAATTTGTATGTTGTGCAAAAACCAGAATGCTTTCACCTAAACTAACACAACATACTGGCTTTTGTTTGTTTGTTTGCATGCTTGCTTGCTTCTTGGTCTTTTCTATTTCTGCTAAACTTACAGATGAAACAAGAATTTGCTCTTCATGTATTTCTATATCCTTTCCTTCCAACTGCCACAATTCTTGGAGAAATCTACCTGACAAAAGAATTAGCTTTAAAATTTCTAGAGCAAAAAATTATCTCTTCAATTAGTTATGATTTGGTATCAATAGAGTAATCATCAAAATTCTTAAGCATCCCAAGCTCCCAGCTGAAAAAAACGTTTTTTTCCCATTCACAGAAAGGTCCAGAATACCATTCCTGTGCAGAGGTTGGATAACATCTGGCATTGTTGAATTCCAAGTCAGGTTTTCACACACTCATCTCATTTCTCAATATAAAGATATTTCTTAGTCAACTAAGTTATCTAGATTCCAAACATTTATTTTTAATAGTAAATATCTCATAGAGGGAATTATTAATTTAATATGAATTTTATTCATTTTTATCATCTCAATACTCAATATCTCAATACTTTGAAGAAAAGGCAGATTGTAAATTTAAAGCAATAAAAAAGTTAGCAAGTGTTATGTTTTTTAAATTCATTCAGTTTTGTCTGGAATCTCTTCTCACATGATACTGGCTACCATCACAGACTTTGTTTTTGCCATATTAGTGCCAGTTTCACTGAAGTTTCTCATTTGAACATACCTTTCTTTCACAAGGAGAAACACAATAAAAGATTAGCAACCAAGGAAACCAGTAAGTAATCTGTGAACATATAAGTAAGAGAATTAAGATAATTATTCTATACAGTGGCTCAGTATCTTTGTCTTTGCTAAAATTACTAATCAAAAATATTTGCAAGAAGCAAAGTACTTATACTGTATTTAGGTCTGCACAAAATACTAAAAGGAGAATTTATTACTAACTGTTCAGAGTCACCATACTGTTGTATACATTATAGGGTAAAGAAATGATAATGTCTTCACAGTGGTGGGAATGTTACATTATTCTGAGTTTGCAATAATACCCAGAGGAATGGCCAGTTTTAATAAAATATGTATAGAAGAAGAAAACCTATTTGATGCATTTTCAGATTGATGCTTTCTCCATTTTCCGTTCAAAAAACATTTGCTTTTTAAATTAGTAAAATCATATATGTATGTGATACATACATCCTGAACATTATGTTTATAAAGAATTTGGACTTAATCAAATTGTATTGAAATGGAAATTACTATAATAAGACCTGCAACTATACAGTTATTAAAAATAATAATTTATAATAATAAATGTGAATATTTATGCTGTTGCATATTTTCAAGGCTTTGTCTTAAATACTTTATGTCTTTTCATACTTGGGGTTCACAAAACTTTCATAATATAGTTATTACTATTATCTGTATTGTAAAGGCAATATATTAAGAAAATTAACTCACGAAGCACGTTGTGGAGACCACAGGACAGAAGCCCATTTGTTCTTCTCTGAGTTAAAGTGCCTGCAATTGCATTTTGGAAACATTCACATAAATGTTAACTATCAGGGTGTATTTTCTGATATTTCTAAAGACTTAGAATCTCAAATGAAAACACATAAGCAAACAAAAACTATCAGATATATCTATTTTTTTTAATTAAGACATAAGACATTTTTTTTCTTTTGAGACAGGGTCTCACTCTGCTGCCTAGGCTGGGTGTGGTGGTGCAATCATGGCTCACTGCAGGCTCAACCTCCCCAAGCTAAGGTGGTTTTTCCACCTAAGCCTCCTGAGTAGCTGGGACTACAGGTGCACACTCCCAATGCCCGGCTAACTTTTGTATTTTTTAGTAGAGACAGGATTTCACCATTTTGCCCAGGCTGGTCTTAAACTAAGGGATCTGCCTGCCTTGGCCTCCCAAAGCTCTGGGATTACAGGTATGAGCCACCACACACCCAGCCCAATTATTCTGCTTTATTACAATTTAACTTCTTAAAACAAAGCAAAAAATACCAAATATGAACACCATAATTTGGAAAATTAATAACTGTGTCAATTATTTAATTTTAGGGAAGATGAAACAAAGCAGTCAGGTAAGATTACAAGAATGTGTGTGTATCTGTGTGTTGGGTAGTGGGAGGGGGGAGGCAGGGGCAGGTTCTGAGCATTTTCTTAATAGGAAAGAAGGGAAATGAAAATACAACCATTATATTTTAAATTTCTTACATTTTTATTTACTTATTTTAATTGACACATTGTATAGACTCTTTTAAAATGTTAATCCCTAACTGTCCAAAGAAAGTGTTTGTATGACTACTTAATTCCCATAACTGTGGATCAAGAGAGCTGCCAGAAATTGGCATAGGAGAGAGCTATGCTTCCATCTGTAAAATCATCACAAACCTAAACTCAAGAGCCTGCTAATATTACCTTGAAAGATAGGTGTTCATAAACTAACTTGAGATCTTTGAATTACAAGTTAAAAAATCTTAATTTTGAAGATATGCTTCATTAGAGGAATGAACACACTGTTTTATACGTCATGAGGAATGAATACATGGTTTTATAAATCATTGTTTTCTGTATCTAAAATGTTGCTTAACAGTAACTGGAGCACAGTGAATGCCTATTTGTGAAATAAATCACTTAAAGTTAATTTTCAAGTTCAGCTAGAATGACATCAAGACAGGGATCATAAAGGAAAGATTTGTTAATTTGATAAACTTCTATCTTAAAACTTTTGAATTAAATCAAAAACAAAGACTACAATGCAATCAAACAAGTCTACTATAAAAATAGAAGGCAAAGAGCAAATTGAGAAAATATTTGTAATAAGATGACAAAGTTTGCATACCAAAATCAACGTAAAAGAATTATAAAAATAGCAGAGAAAGGTAGCTATCTTAATTGAAAAATGCACAAAGGCCACAAACTTGTAATTGAAAGAAAGAAATTTTAAAATTTTTTAAACAGTTTAGACTATTTGGTGACTAAATTAATATTTTTACATGTATCAAGTAGGTAAAGATTTTAAAAATCTCTAGTGGTAGAATGGATGGTGAAGAAAATGCAATGTGATTGGCTGGTCTTGAGAGAATGAACTTGTGTAACTCTACAGGCAAATTTGAAAATAATCTTGAATACTTACATCCAAAGGGGAGGTTGATTAAGAAACTGAGTTAAAAATTGGCGATTTGATGAAGAATGCATTTTTATAATAATAAAAATAAAGACAAAAACTTCAGAAAAAATAATAAAGGAAAGCCATGGTTAATGTATGCAGCAAACCAACTGCAAGACTACATTTTACTGCAGTTTAAGATTCTCCTTTGCGGGAATATCACACTCTCGGGACTGTGGTGGGGTGGTAGGAGGGATAGCATTGGGAGATATACCTAATGCTAGATGACGAGTTAGTGGGTGCAGCGCACCAGCATGGCACATGTATACATAGGTAACTAACCTGCACAATGTGCACATGTACCCTAAAACTTAAAGTATAATAAAAAAAAAAAAGAAAAAAAAAGAATATAAAAAAAAAAAAAGATTCTCCTTTGAGCTGCACAGGTTTTATGAGATACATTTTTTTTCTCTGAATCCAATAACAATACGAGGTTCTAATTGTGACTGATATTTACATAATTATATTGATGTTCATTATTTATCAAATTTTAGATGAACTCTGAAGGCAAATCCTGGGAGAACTGATTACCATAATAGAACACCATGTAAGAGTTATAAACTCTGATAGCAAAATAATGATATAGCTGAGAGAAATTGGCAGAAGAGAGAACTGGAAAGAAATACAGGGAAACTTATTTCCTCATTTTGCATAATAGGAAGCCAAGAGTTATGTCCAAAACTGACTAAATAGTACATCAGTTAGTAATGTGTTCAACTACAAGTAACAGGAAAACAAGGATTAAGAATAATGAGAATACACGTGGATGTGCCTGTCTCAGTCCTGGACTGGTACACCTTGTCAGTAATTTAATGAAGATCTGAAGTCTTTCTTTCTTCTCCTCCAGGGCCACAGAATGGCTGCTGCCACTCCCAGCTTTATGGGAATTTAAGCAGCAGGAAGGGGCACAGCCAAATAGGAACAGCTTTTACACTGTTAGTGGGAATATAAATTAGTTCAACCATTGTGGAAGATGGTGTGGTGATTCCTCAAAGATCTAGAACCAGAAATACCATTTGACCCAGCAATTCCATTACTGGATATATACCCAAAGGAATATAAATCAATTACAAAGACACATGCACCCTATGTGATTGCAGCACTATTCACAATAGCAAAGACATGGAATCAACCCAAATGCCCATCAATTTGAATGAATAAAGAAAATGTGGTACATATACACCATGAAATACTATGCAGCCATAAAAAGGAACAAGATTATGTCCTTTGCAGGGACATAGATGGAGCTGGAAGCCATTATCCTTAGCAAACTAACGCAGGAACAGAAAACCAAATACTTATAAGTGAGAGCTAAACAATGAGAACATATGGACACACAGAGGGGAACAACACACACTGGATCCTGTCAGTGGGTGGGGTGGGGGAAGGGAGAGCATTAGGAAAAATAGCTAATGCATGCTGGGCTTCATACCTCGGTGAGGGGTTGATAGGTGCAGCAAACCTCCATGGCACACATTTACCTATGTAACAAACCTGCACATCCTGCACATGTACCCCAATAAAAATTTAAATTTAAAAAATAGTGTTGACTATATTCCCCATCTACCCCTTCCACTCTGAACAAAGGCTATATAGGTATCTAGGCTCCATTGGGATTTTTGGATAATTACTCTGTGATTCTCCCCCGTGCACATTAATAAATTTGTATGCCATTTCTTTAAAAAAAGAAAAAAAAAGAAAATGGGTATTGAGTGAATCATTTCTTAACATCTGCTATGATGAAGAAAATAATTTTTAGTACATAATTTGTGGCCTTCAAACTAATAATGCTAACAATAGTCAGGAGGATAACTAAACTGAGCTAAAAAGCCTCATTATTTGTAGCAGGTTGTCAAAAATAATATCCTAAGTTGATATATTAAGAAATAAAGATAATAAACAGAAAAAATTAAACAGAATTAAAGGAAGTTTTGCCTTAGGAATGGAGATAAGATGTTGGTGTATATGAGTATCTAACAGGAGAGTTTTGATTTTTATTCCAATAACTCATTCCACAGACTCTGATAGGATGGCTCTTATGTCCAAGGAGCTGCTCTCATCACATCACTTGGGATGCAGCCAAGGATAAGACAACAGTGACCTTACCCTTCATTTATGTTCTAATAGCAAGTATGATAAATCAGATGTACATATAACATTAGACAGTAATATGTGATGAAAAGATAGAGATGCGGTTAAGGGTGATTTGAAATGAGGGTCCCGAAAGCCCTCTCGGAGGAGGTGACCTCTGAGCAGAAATGGGAATGATGTACAGAGTGAGCCTTATGGAGAGATGCAGCCACAGGAAAAGTTGAGTCAGGTCTGCTGTATCTCAGAGATGGGACAATATTTTCTTTGAAAAGCCAGAGGGCTGACCCCAAACTACTCTACAAGGCACTAATGAGGTTCTAACTTTAACTGTTATTGATCAGGCTTGTCAGAGCAACAGTCATCAACTTCATCCAAGGCCACAAAATATATTCTAGCAGGACTAACCTTGAATCCATTGTATTAATGCAGTTTCTGAGGCCCTCAAACAATGTTCATTCCAATGAGTTATATTCCAGGCTGTAGCTGTGGGAGGAATCCAGAGTTTACCCAGGTATTAAGAACCTCTGAATAAGAATGAACAGAATAACAGACCAGAGAGAATGACTTTGTATTTTAATCTGATCTAAGAATTTTGAATTTGGGGCTTTCATTTTTGTGGACAGGACAGTTTTATTTCAGATTTGATACCTTTGGAATTATCACCTTTGGCCTTTAGTGTAAGGGGATTCTAATTTTGAACTTCAATTTCTCCTAGGGAACTTAATAAATGCAGAGGACAAATTTGGTATGACTCTGACTGTCATTTTGTTGATGGGAGGTATTTATGTGTTTCATTACAGCACTCATTCTCAATGCAGCATCTCTTACATGATTAGCATTGGACAATATGGCTGCACACACTTTGGATAAAATATAGAACAGGGTATAAAATGTCAGCTTTTAAATTATGGAGATGATTTAATAATGTATTCTTCCGAACCACTGCATAGAGGTCTGGGGACAAAGCATATAATACCCAACAGTGCTCCCAAGAGAAATGATACAAGTGGGCAGTGGTTGGTTTTGAGGGAGTGACCTTCACAAAGTTAGAAATAGGACAGTTATGGGGCTGAGAGGGAGGCGGGGACGGACCACTCTCTGCTTGACCGTAGTTTGGTGATTTAAGTCTAATAGGTTAAGAGAAAAAAACCTGGGGCATGTTGGAATGGATGAGCTTCTCTCTATTACCTTCCATGTCAAGGAAGCAGAATGGTAGTAATATCCCTGGGCTCTCAGTGTCTCTTTACTTTCCCCACCCCGACTGGTAAGTAAGGAAAGAGTAAACTGAGTACACGGACCTCAGTAACTCCCTTTTCTTTTGAAAGAATTTCCTGCCCATACAGAAAAGGATTTCTCTTCTACAATGTTGCCCTATAAATAAGGGTGCCTAAGACAGGGAGTATGATCACAAAGACTGCAGGTCAAATAGTACCTAAATCCACAAAAGAACTTCTACCTTGTCATTTCTCTTGGAACCTGTCTCTCTGGACTTACCTTGACCCGGTGATTTTGCAAGATTTTTACTTTAATTTTTAATCTATGGCATCCAATATTTAAACACACTCATGTACCACATAAGGACATTTTGGTCAACAATGGATGCACATATGATGGAGGATCCAAAAGATTATAATGGAATGGAAAAATCCCTACCACCTATTGATATCGTAGCTGTCCTAAGGTCATGGAGCAATGCATTACTTATGTGTTTGTGGTGAATGCTGATGTAAACAAATCTGCACTGCCAGTTGTATAAAATTATAGCACATTCAATTATGTACAGTACATACTTGATAATGATAATAAACAACTATGTTACTCGCTTATGTATTTACTAAATCTTTCACTGTTGTTTTAGAGTGTACGCCTTCTATTTATTAAAAAATAATTACCTGTAAAACAGGCTCATGCAGTTCCTTTAGGTGGTATTCCAGAAGAAGGTATTATCACAGGAGATGACAGCTCATGCTGTCATCATGTTGGCTGGGAGAGAATCTCTTTCTAGATGAACTAGTGAGACGCAGGTTAGATATCCCTACAAACATGCTTGAATACCTTTCCTGAAATTTTGGGTTCCACACACAAATGGACTCCTCTCTTCTCCCTGAGGAGGATAAGGACATTGACTTCCACTGCAGCACTTAACCACTTCAATCAGGACATCCTTGGTCTTCTGCTTTGTGTCCACAATCCATACTTCAAACATGCCACAATCTTAATTCCAAAAAAATTTCTACATGTGATTTTGCTCTTTTCCATATAATTTAAGAAACAGGCAAAAACTTCTGTGTAAATGTAATTTCAATTAAATTTTACAGTTCATTTTTTGTACCTCATGCAGAAATTAGGTGTTTCAGGGAATATGTAGGTCAATACATGGGATGAGACACATATCTTTGATTTCAATAAGCAGTAGTGGAGAGAGGAATCTATAGGTGAGAAAAACTATAAAGAAAGCAATAGAAAACATAAAGCAAGAGTGTGTTCACAAAGCATTTTTGAGTTTAGTATGACAAATATTTGTATGTGTGTGCGTGCACGCACGCACACGCACACACGCAATGCAAAATAAATTTGTAAAAGTTTGTCTGGATTGTATTATAGTCAAACACCAAACCAAGGAATTATTAATTAATTATCCATTAATGGGAGGTTTATGAAAAGATTTTGCATAGAAAAGTAACATGATTATTCTGCCTGTCATCGAAGGAGAGATTGACACCCACCTAAAAGACTACATTTTTCAAGCTTTTTTGCAACCATGTTTGGCCATATGCCCAAGTTCTGGCCAAGGAAATTTAAGTGTTGTGAATAATTTCCAGAGGTCTCCTTAAAAGGGAGGGAAGTCCCACTTCTTCCATCTTCCTCTTTCTTGCTGCTGGGAATACTGATATAGTGGCATTTGAGCAGCCATAGAGGATTATGTGACCTTGAGAATTGAAGCTATATGAGTGGAGGAATAAAATCGGAAGATTCTTGTTTTCTGATTCTGTGGATTTTGCACAACCTGATCTGGACCTCCTACTTCTAGATCATTCTTACAGAAAAATAATTTCCTACATTTTTAATACCATTGTTTTTTGAGAGAGATTCTTGTTTTTGTCAAACAAAGCAAATCCAAATTAACCAGGTGGTACTTAGGAAGGTCATGCAAGACAAAATACAGCCCCTTTACCTTCAGTCTCTAGTTTAGAAAACTCAGCAGATGAGAATTCCACTTCTGAAATATCAGAGGCTAACAGAAGGAAAATCACTGAAGCTATTGATCAAAAAGAATATAAGAACTGGAAAGATTTAAAAAGAAATTCATGCTACTTAAAATTTTAGGTCAAGGTCTATCAAATTTCTTTCTAATGTTATATATGATTTGATCAACTTTGTTCATTGCTAAATGTGTCTGATCCCTATTCTTTCCTTTCCTATTTTGTTAATTTTGTGCTATTATTTATGGTAAAATGAAAATTATTTTAAAAACTGTCCTAAAAGAGTAGACTTTTGTTAAAAGG
The DNA here is from genome assembly GCF_000001405.40 of Homo sapiens. Lineage (NCBI taxonomy): Eukaryota > Metazoa > Chordata > Mammalia > Primates > Hominidae > Homo > Homo sapiens. The sequence continues at coordinate 32,092,062 of NC_000009.12, forward strand.
AAGAGTATTTCAATGGTATCCCAGATCTGCTCACTATATTTCTTTTGCAAATATGATATTTCTTAGCTTTAAAAGGAACTCATAGAAAACATTAGAAAGAGAAGACTATGCCCAGACCAATGAAACATACTACCCAATCTCACACTCACACTCTTGTATGAGACACACGAAAACACCATCTGTTTCTCTTTTCTTGCCAAGGCACAGAGGACTTATTCCTAGTACTTCCTTCAACTCCACAAAGTATAGACCTAGAAATGAGGTGTAGGGTCACAATATTACCCAAGAGCAGAGGTATATAAATATCACATCCTCCACCCAAATGGCCACTTTCATTTCTGAATGAAGTGTGGATTGTACACTTTGAGTAACATATTTTGATATATGTAACTTAAGAGTTTGCATGTAACTAACAGTGAAAGGACAGGGAATTATATGTATCATGTATAAAAATTCTCACCCTCTACAGGTTCGTATATCAATATTTCCTTGGTGCTTCTTCACTTTGATCTCTTTGATGCATTTGATAGCATTACCTCTTTTTCTGTCAATCTTTTTCTTTCTTAACTTCTATGGAATACTTCTCTACTTTTCTGTTTCTATTTTTAACACTGCAAAGACTTGCTTCCTTGGGTTTGTCTTCTTCCTCCTGTCTTCCTTTTTTTTTTTTTTTTTTTTTTTTTCTTTTTGAGACAGAGTTTCACCCTTGTTGCTCAGGCTGGAGTGCAGTGACGCGATCTCAGCTCATTGCAACCTCCCCCTCCCAGATTCAAGCTATTCTCCTGCCTCAGCCTCCCAAGTAGCTGGGACTACAGGCACACTCCACCACGCCCAGCTAATTTTGTTTTGTTTTGTTTTTTGTATTTTTAGTACAGATGGGTTTTAGCCATGTTGGTCAGGCTGGTCTCGAACTCCTGACCTCAGGTGATCCACCCACCTCAGCCTCCCAAAGTGCTGAGATTACAGGTGTGAGCCACCACACCCGGCCCTTTCTCCTGTCCTCTAATTTTAGATTGTTATTTTGTCTCCCTCCTGCTTCCGAGTAATTACCTAAATACTTTCATCTTCTCTACATAAACTCAAGCTGTTCTTCCTAAATCACATCCAGTTCCATACTTTGAGCAGTAACATCCATGGCAGGAACGCTAATACCTACCACCATAGCTCATGCTTCTCTAATGAATTCTGGTCTTGCATATACATTTGCCTGGATAAAACACCCCAGGAAAGCCTCTTCAGAATGGATTCCTTAACATGTGTACAATTTTTCAAATGTGTACATGTCTTGTATCCCCAATTCTAGGTAACGGGAGCAGTGTATCTTCAGTCATTCAGGCTAAAGGTGCTTCTGTTCAAAAGTCTTTAACAGTTACTGATTGCATACTGAAAATAAACACACAATATATCTTGAGATATTTTTGAAGGCCTTCATATCTGTCCTCAGTCTTACCAGTCTTATTTACAAAACTGAATACCACATTCCAGATTATCCTTTATTTGGTTTTCATTGTTCTCTCTACCTGGTGGGCTGTCCCCCCCCACTCCAAATCCATTTGCCAAAATATTAATTAATGTAAAGGGGTTATGTCAAATACCCCCATCACTATAGTGGAATGAACAGAAATAGTTTTTTAGGTAAAATAGAATTTTACCAATTATTCTTTTATGGCATTTTTTTATCATGATTATATCTTGAATAGATGTCTCATTATCACTACATGACTTGTCAATAAGGTTCATAAAACTGAGTTTATGTCTCATTCTTTTTTTTATTTCTCTTTAGTGCAGTTCCTATTAAGGAACCTTACATGTACTAATTAATCAATTTGTCCTGAATGAATGGATGAATTAGTGATTAAGTGGAATGAATTAAACAACTTAAAATCAGCTGGAAATGTGCCAATAAGAGTGTTTGGAAATGTTCTATTTTATTCAAAATGCATCAGACAAAAGATAAATGGGTATCACTAATGTAGATGAGTATTTACTATATCATGAATCATATTGAAAAATTATTCCTAAAATATTTCTTAGAAACTAGATATTTCTCATTAATGCTGGTTTTCTACATGTTTATGTCCAAATAGTTTCAAGTAAATCTAAATGTTTTTAATAGTCCTATTATAGACAAAGCAAAAGACGAATAGCATTCAATTAGGATCACAGTATGCAGTAAAATCACCTCACAGTCTAATGTAATTAGTTACCATCTCATTCCATAATGCCAGAAAATGTGGCTCCTTTATTCACCATTGATTCTCCTAGTACCTAGCACAGTAACAGACATAGTAAATAATAATACACACACACCATGTATTATTTTTAGCTATTTTCTAATGTATTTTCCAGCTTTAATGAGGCGTAATTTTCAAATTTAAAAATTGCGTATTTTCCAAGTGTCCACCATGATGATTTGATATACATATACATTGTGTAATGATTATAACACAATCAAATTAATTAATACATTCAACGTCATCCATAGTTACCTGTGTGTGGTAGTTGGGGGGTGGGTGTGGGGATGGTGAGGTCACTTAAAATCTGATTTGTATCAAATTTCAAGTAACAATATAGTATTATTAACCATGGACACCATGCTAAACTTATTCATCTTACAACCAAAAATTTGTACCCTTTGACCCACATCTCCCCCATTTCCCCTGCCCCCAAATTCTGGAAATCACCTCTCTATGCTCTGTTTCTATGAGTTCAAGTTTTTAGATTTCACATGTAAGTGAGACCATACAGTATTTGTCTGTCTGCGTCTGGCTTATTTCACTTAGCACAATATTCTCCAGGTTCATCTATATTGTTGCAAACGTCAGGATTTCCTTCTTTTTTTATGGCTGAATAGTATTCTCTCTGCCATTTTCTCCACATAGCATTTATCACTATAAACTTGTTAATTTTGCCATTTTCTCCACTTGTGTATGTACACACTACATTTTCTTTATGTATCCACCTTGATTATTGTGAGCAGTGCTGCAATAAATGATTTTTGTGAATAATACTGCAATAAACTTAAAAGTGTAGATATGTCTTCAACATACTGATTTCTTTTTCCTTGGATATATAAATAGAGTGGGATTACTAGATCATATGGCAGTTCTATTTTTACTTTTTGAGGAGCCTCCATAATTTTTTCCATAATGGCTGTGCTAACTTACATTCCCACCAACAATGTATAAGAGTTTCCTCTCCTCTGCACCCATGCCAGCATTTGTCATTTTTGTCCTTTTTCATAATACCCATTTTAACTGGGGTAAGATGCCATCTCATTGTGGTTCTGATTTTCATCTCCCTGATGATTAGTGATACTGAACATTTTCATATACTTGTCGGTCATTTGTATGTCTTTTTTCCAGAAATGTTTATTCCAATCATTTGTACATTTTAAAATCAGATTATTTGATTTTTTGCTGTTGAGTTGTTTGAGTTCCTTCTATATTCTGGATATTACTCACTTGTCAAATGAATAGTTTGCAAAATTTTCTCCCATTCTGTAGGTTTTCTCTTTACTCTCTTGATTGCTTCCTTTGCTGTCCACCAGCTTTGTAGCTTGATATAATCCCATTTATCTACTTTCATTTTTGTTACTGGTGCTTTTGAGGTCTTATTAATAAAATCTTTCCCCAGTCCAATGTCCTGAAGAATTTCTCCTATATTTTCTTCTAGTAGTTTCATAGTTTTGGGTCTTACATGTTTGTTTTTAATCCATTTTGAATTGGTTTTTGTATATGGTGAGAGATAGGGGCCCAGTTTTATTCTTCTACATATAGATATCTAGTTTTTCCAGCCCCTTTTATTGAAGAGACTGTCCTTTCCCCAATTGTATGTTCTTGGTGCATTTGTTGAAAATCAGTTGGCTATAAATACATGAATTTATTTCTGTTTTCTCTATTCTGTTGCAACGGTCTGTGTCAAAAAAAAAAAAAAGCCCAATTTCATTGATCTTTTCTTTTTTTGTCTGTGTTTCTAATTCTAATTTTTGTCTAATCTTCATTATTTTATTTCTTCTTCTGACTTTGGGCTTAGTTTCTTCTTATTTTTCTAGTTTATTGGACTGTGAAGTTAGGCTGTTTATTTGAGATCTTTCTTTTCTCTTAATGTAAGCATTTATCACTATAAACTTCTTGATTCTGCCATTTTCTCCACATAGTATTAAGGAGTGAAATGACCTCTCTGATCCTCTAATGTTTCTCAGCAAAACAGCCATTATAAAATTTGGTGCAAATAATTTATATTTTCATATGCTTATACACATCACTTCTACATGCTTACACTTTCTCTTTCTCCCTCTCTGTCCTTATTCTGACAGACATGTTTTAGATACATGAAATAATGCTATTCATGTAGGAAATAAATATTACTGAATAAATAAATGAATTTAAATGAATTGGGGTCTGGCTTTTCTTTTTAATTAGACTGATATCTTAGGTAAATTTTACCATTCTGATATTTACCATTCTTTGAAAATTTGTAATTTAAGGTATTTAAATTAAATTTCCTTGGGGAAAACATATACACAATTCATTATACCAACATGTAAAATGTAATAGATTTTTTAAGTGTCTATTCTCTAGTCATGAATATAAGCTGGATCTCTCTGAGCATCACTCACTTGGGATTGAGTATGACAAAGTTTTTAATAATTTATTTCTTCTCCCCTCTCGTTCACTCCCTCACTCAGAACAATTTCCATTACAGATGTCATGTGGACTTCTCTGAGGAGAAATATAGATTTCAAAATGTCAACTTCTCTAGCAGAAACGTGATTGTTTTCTCATTCCTTCTTTGGTACTTCTGGTTCCCAAACATATATTTGTGAAGTGTTTGACAGTCCTATTTCTTCCAGCTGATCTGCTGTGCTGCAGTTTATATTTCCTTTTACTTCAAAATATCCAAGAATTTAGGGACAGATAATGGCTTTAGATGTAGCAACTCCTTCCAGCAAACCAACTTAATGATTTTGAAATATCTTATAAATATTCTTTCACTTTTAACATTCCTTGGGGTTGATACTTTGAAATACCAAAATAAACTAAGAATGTTAATACTTCATAAAATTTTATGTAACCTTCTTGTAGCAGGTGCAAAATGAGGAAATGATATAGTCCTTGAGATGGTTAATTTTATGTGTCAACTTGACTGGGCAATGTGGTGCCCAGATATTTGGTAAAAGATTACTCTGTGTGTGTCCATGACTGTGTTTTTGGATGAGATTAACATTTCAATCAATAGAGCTGAGTCAAGCAGATTGCTGTCACTAATGTGAAGGCTAATTAGTTGAGGGTCAATCAGTTAGTTGAAGGCTTGAAAATAACAAAAAAGGCTGACCTACCACAAGTAAGATGAAATTCCTCCTGCCCACCTGTTGAGCTTTTTTCCTGCCTTCAAACTAAAACTGAAGCATTGGCTCTTCTTGGGCCTCAAGCCTGCCAGCTTTTGGACTGGAACTGCACCATTGGCTTTCCTGATTCTCAAGCTTTAGGACTTGGACTGGAACTACATCATTGCCTCTCCTGGGTCTCCAGCTTGCTGACTACACATCCTGGGAATTTTCAATTTCCAAAATCACGTGAATCAATTCCTTATAATAAATATCTTGAAAGAGATAGAGATAGAGAGAAAGAGAGAGACAGAGAGAGAGAGAGAGAGAGAGTGTGTGTGTGTGTGTGTGTGTATGTGTTGGCTCTCTTGGTTGTGTTTTTCTGGAGGACCCTAACTATTACAGTCCTAAATACATTTTTATTCCTGGAGGTAATTTGTATATTCTTAGTTGCTGAAGCAAAGGTGAGTGGAAATGGGTCACATTTGGTAGAAGAAAGGACCTTTTGTTTAATAATCGAAGTTATGCCAGGCATCAATTATCCCAAGAGGTGTTCTCATTCCATGCACTGAAAAGATCCATAGTATTCTTCCCAGAGACATCTTTTTGTTTAAGAGTATTGAGGGCATTATACCAAAACATTTTTGAAGGATTTTTTTTCAAGTGTTGACACCACTAGTAGTTCTGGCAAGGAAAATATTTTGAGCAGCCACCATTAGGAATAGAACTAGAGTAACAACAATATAACTTATAAAGCAAGTCCCTTTGTCTCCTCTAGCCATTTCTGCTTCAAGTTTTAAGACTCCCAAATATATGAAAACCCACTTTTAGGCTTAAAGACCCTAAATTTAAGGATCCAAAATATACAAAACCATATTTTAAAATTCAGCAAATAAAATAGAATGTAGCCTTTGTTCAAGAATCAAAAATAGCAAACTCATGCAATAAATTAGGTTGACCTAAAACAGACTAGAGTACATAGAGAAGCTTGATTGCATGAAAAATATCTTGCCTGGGTACGGCGGCTCATGCCTGTAATCCCAGCACTTTGGGAGGCCATTGCAGGAGGGTCACTTGAGCCCAGGAGTTTGAGAGCGGCCTGGGAAACACAGCAAGACCCTGTCTCTATTTAATAACAAACAAAGAGGAGGGGGTTCCAAGATGGCCAAAAAGGAACAGCTTCAGTCTACAGCTCCCAGTGTGAGTGACATAAAACATGGGTGATTTCTGCATTTCCAACTGAGGTATCAGGTTCATCTCACTGGGGCTTGTTAGACAGTGGGTGCAGCCCACAGAGTGTGAGTCGAAGCAGGGTGGGGCATTGCCTCACCCAGGAAGCGCAAGGAGTCGGGGAATTCCCTTTCCTAGCCAAGGGAATCCACGACAGACAGTACCTGGAAAATTGGGACACTCCCACCCTAATACAGCATTTTTCCAACAGTCTTAGCAAACGGCACACCAGGAGATTATATACCGTGCCTGGCTCAGAGGGTCCCATGCCCACAGAGCCACACTCACTGCAAGCACAGCAGTCTGAGATCAAACTACAAGGTGGCAGCAAGGCTGGGGGAGGGGCTTCCGCAATTGCTGAGGCTTGAGTAAGTAAACAAAGTGCCTGGGAAGCTCAAACTTCGTGGAGCCCACCGCAGCTCAATGAGGTCTGCCTGCCTCTGTAGACTCCACCTCTGGGGGTAGGGCATAGCTGAACAAAAGGCAACAGAAACTTCTGCAGACTTAAATATCCCTGTCTGACAGCTTTGAAGAGAGTAGTGCTTCTCCCAGCATGGAGTTGGAGATCTGAGAATGGATAGACTGCCTCCTCAAGTGGGTCCCTGACCCCTGAGTAGCCTAACTAGGAGACACCTCCGAGTAGGGGCTGACTGACACCTCATACAACCGGGTGACCCTCTGAGACAAAGCTTCCAGAGGAAGGATCAGGCAGCAACATTTGCCATTCTGCAATATTTGCTGTTCTGCAGCCTCCACTGGTGATACCCAGGCAAACAGGACCTGGAGTGGACCTCCATCAAACTCCAACAGACCTGCAGAAAGGACATCCACACCAAAACCCCATCTGTACGTCACCATCATCAAAGACCAAAGGTAGATAAAACCACAAACATGGAGAGAAACCAGAGCAGAAAAGCTGAAAATTCTAAAAATCAGAGGGCCTCTTCTCTTCCAAAGGAATGCAGCTCCTCACCAGAAACAGAACATAGCTGGACAGAGAATGACTTTGATGAGTTGACAGAAGTTGACAGATGATCAGTAATAACAGACTTCTCCTAGCTAAAGGAGGATGTTCAAACCCATTGCAAAGAAGATAAAAACCTTGAAAAAAGATTAGTGCAATGGCTAACTAGAATAAACAGCATAGAGAAGACCTTAACTGACCTGATGGAGCTGAAAACCATGGTACGAGAACTATGTGATGCATGCACAAGCTTCAGTAGCCAATTCGATCAAGTGGAAGAGAGGGTATCAGTGATCGAAAATCAAATGAATGAAATGAAGTGAGAAGAGAAGTTTAGAGAAAAAAGAGTAAGAAGAAATGAACAAAGCCTCCAAGAAATATGGGACTATGTGAAATGACCAACTCTATGTCTGACTGGTGTACCTGAAAGTAACAGGGAGAATGGAACCAAGTTGGAAAACACTCTGCAGGATATTATCCAGGAGAAATTCCCCAACCTAGCGAGGCAGGCCAACATTCAAATTCAGGAAATACAGAGAACACCACAAAGATACTCCTTGAGAAGAGCAACTCCAAGACACATAATTGTCAGATTCACCAAAGTTGAAATGAAGGAAAAAATATTAAGGGCAGCCAGAGAGAAAGGTCGGGTTACCCAAAAAGGGAAGCCCATCAGACTAACAGCGGATCTCTTGGCAGAAACTCTACAAGCCAGAAGAGAGTGGGGGCCAATATTCAACATTCTTAAAGAAAAGAATTTTTAAACCAGAATTTCATATCCAGCCAAACGAAGCATCATAAGTGAAGGAGAACTAATATCCTTTACAGACAAGTAAATGCTGAGAGATTTTGTCACCACCATGCCTGCCTTACAAGAGCTCCTGAAGGAAGCAATAAACATGGAAAGGAACAACTGGTACCAGCCACTGCAAAAACATGCCAAATTGTAAAGACTGTCAATGCTATGAAGAAACTGCATCAACTACTGGGCAAAATAACGAGCTAACATCATAATGACAGGATCAAACTCACACATAACAATATTAACCTTAAATGTAAATGGGCTAAATGCTCCAATTAAAAGACACAGACTGGCAAATTCGATAAAGAGCCAAGACCCGTCACTGTGCTGTATTCAGGAGACCCACCTCACATGCAGAGACACACATAGGCTCAAAATAAAGGGATGGAGGAAGATCTGCCAAGCAAATGGAAAACAAAAAAAAGCAGGGGTTGCAATCCTAGTCTCTGATAAAACAGACTTTAAACCAAGAAAGATCAAAAGAGACAAAGAAGGCCATTACATGATGGTAAAGGGATCATTTCAACAAGAAGAGCTAACTATCCTAAATATATATGCACCCAATACAGGAGCACCCAGATTCATAAAACAAGTCCTTAGAGACCTACAAAGAGACTTAGACTCCCACACAATAATAATGGGAGACTTTAACACCCCACTGTCAACATTAGACAGATCAACGAGACAGAAAGTTAACAAGGATATCCAGGAATTGAATTCAGCTCTGCACCAAGCGGACCTAATAGATATCTACAGAACTCTCCACCCCAAATCAACAGAATATACATTCTTCTCAGCACATCACACTTATTCCAAAATTGACCACACAGTTGGAAGTAAAGCACTCCTCAGCAAATGTAAAAGAACAGAAATTATAACAAACTGTCTCTCAGACCACAGTGCAATCAAATTAGAACTCAGGATTAAGAAACTCACTCAAAACCACTCAACTACCTGGAAACTGAACAACCTGCTCCTGAATGACTACTGGGTACATAACAAAATGAAGGCAGAAATAAAGATGTTCTTTAAAACCAATGAGAACAAAGATACAACATACCAGAATCTCTGGGACACATTTAAAGCAGTGTGTAGAGGGAAATTTATAGCACTAAATGCCCACAAGAGAAAGCAGGAAAGATCTAAAATTGACACCCTAACATCACAATTCAAAGAACTAGAGATGCAAGAGCAAACACATTCAAAAGCTAGCAGAAGGCAAGAAATAATTAAGATCAGAGCAAAACTGAAGGAGATAGACACAAAAAACCTTTCAAAAAAAATCAATGAATCCAGTAGCTGGTTTTCTGAAAAGATCAACAAAATCGATAGACCACTAGCAAGACTAATAAAGAAGCAAAGAGAGAAGAATCAAATAGATGCAATAAAAAGTGATAAAGGGGAGATCACCACCAATCCCACAGAAGTACAAACTACCATCAGAGAATACTATAAACACCTCTACACAAATAAACCAGAAAATCTAGAAGAAATGGATAAATTCCTTGACACATACACCCTCCCAAGACTAAACCAGGAAGAAGTTGAATCCCTGAATAGACCAATAACAGGCTCTGAAATTGAGGCAATAATTAATAGCCCACCAACCAAAAAAAGTCCAGGACCAGATGGATTCACAGCCGAATTCTACCAGAGGTACAAAGACGAGCTGCTACCATTCCTTCTGAAACTATTCCAATCAAAAGAAAAAGAGGGAGTCCTCCCTAACTCATTTTATGAGGCCAGCATCATCCTGATACCAAAGCCTGGCAGAGACACAACAAAAAAAGAGAATTTTAGACCAATATCCCTGATGAACATTGATGCAAAAATCCTTGATAAAATACTGGCAAACCGAATCCAGCACTATATCAAAAAGCTTATCCATCACAATCAAGTTGGCTTCATCCCTGGGATGCAAGGCTGGTTCAACATACACAAATCAATCAACATAATCTATCATATAAACAGAACCAAAGACAAAAACCACGTGATTATCTCAATAGATGCAGAAAAGGCCTTCAACAAAATTCAACAGCCCTTCATGCTAAAAACTCTCAATAAACTAGGTGTTGATGGGATGCATCTCAAAATAATAAGAGCTATTTATGACAAACCCACAGACACTATGATACTGAATGGGCAAAAACTGGAAGCATTCCCTTTAAAAACTGGCACAAGACAGGGATGCCCTCTCTCACCACTCCTATTCAACATAGTGCTGGAAGTTCTGGCCAGCGCAATCAGGCAGGAGAAGGAAATAAAGGGTATTCAATTAGGAAAAGAGGAAGTCAAATTTTCCTTGTTTGCAGATGACATGATTGTATATTTAGAAAACCCCATCGTGTCAGCCCAATATCTCCTTAAGCTGATGAGCAACTTCAGCAAAGTCTCAGGATACAAAATCAATGTAAAACTCACAAGTATTCCTATACACCAATAACAGACAGAGAGCCAAATCATGAGTGAACTCCCATTCACGATTGCTTCAAAGAGAATAAAATACTTATATTTTATTCAACTTATAAGGGATGTGAAGGACCTCTTTAAGGAGAGCTACAAAACACTGCTCAACAAAATAAAAGAGGACACAAACAAATGGAAGAACATTCCATGCTCATGGATAGGAAGAATCAGTATCGTGAAAATGGCCATACTGCCCAAGGTAATTTATAGATTTAATGCCATCCCCATCAAGCTACCAATGACTTTCTTCACAGAATTGGAAAAAAACACTTTAAAGTTCATATGGAACCAAAAAAGAGCCCGCATTGCCAAGACAATCCTAAGCCAGAAGAACAAAGCTGGAGACATCATGCTACCTGACTTTAAACTATACTACAAGGCTACAGTAACCAAAACAACACGGTACTGGTCCCAAAACAGAAATATAGACCACTGGAACAGAACAGAGCCCTCAGAAATAACACCACACCTCTACAACCATCTGATCTTTGACAAACCTGACAAAAACAAGCAACGGGGAAAGGATTCCCTATTTAATAAATGGTGCTGGGAAAACTGGCTAGCCATATGTAGAAAGCTGAAACTGGATCCCTTCCTTACACCATATACAAAAATTAATTCAAGATGGATTAAAGACTTAAATGTTAAACCTAAAACAATAAAAACCCTAGAAAAAAACCTAGGCAATACCATTCAGGACATAGGCACGGGCAAGGACTTCATGTCTAAAACACAAAAAGCAGTGGCAGCAAAAGCCAAAATAGACAAATGGGATCTAATTAAACTAAAGAGCCTCTGCACAGCAAAAGAAACTACCATCAGAGTGAACAGGCAACCTACAGAATGGGAGAAAATTTTTGCAATCTACTCATCTCACAAAGGGCTAATATCCAGAATCTACAAAGAACTCAAACATATTTACAAGAAAAAAACAAACAACCCCATCAAAAAGTGGACAAAGGATATGAACAGACACTTCTCAAAAGAAGACATTTATGCAGCCAACAGACACATTAAAAAAATGCTCATCATCACTGGTCATCAGAGAAATGCAAATCAAAGCCACAATGAGGTACCGTCTCACACCAGTTAGAATGGCGATCATTAAAAAGTCAGGAAACAACAGGTGCTGGAGAGGATGTGGAAAAATAGGAACACTTTTACACTGTTGGTGGGAATGTAAACTAGTTCAACCATTGTGGAAGACAGTGTGGTGATTCCTCATGGATCTAGAACTATAAATACCATTTGACCCAGCCATCCCATTACTGGGTATATTCCCAAAGGATTATAAATCATGCTGCTATAAAGACACATGCACAAGCCAGGTGATATCTTGCAAAGCTCAAAATGTACTTATGCTATTACCCATCAGTTGCACCCCTAGAAATTACTTCAGAGGAACAGCAGAAAACATAAGACAATTCATAACAGCCTCATTTTTTATACAGAAAAACTAGAAAAAAAAAGCAGTGTTTCATTATCCTGCTACCTAGGTTCTAATATTAAATTCAGCTGCAATCTGAAAATTTAAACCAATACAACTCAGGGCACTCGTTCTTTCGTTTATTTTGGTTGAAGTTCCTTGTCCTGAGCACATTTTTCCACTCTGTTTTCTAAGATCTTTAAATCTCATTTTACATTTCTAAGTATAGTTATGGACTTAATTATAAATTAATTGTAGCATATAGTAGTGAAAAGCACAGTTTTGAATCCTAACTCCTGCACTCAACATTTTCAAAGTCATTAACCTCTCTATGTCTGTTTCCTTGTATGTAAAATGAGGATAAGAATAGTTCCCATCTACACAGGGTTGTTCCTGTGATTAAGAGAGTGAACTGCTTGGAATAATGACTTGCAAATAGTAAGCACAACATACATTTTTACTATTTCCATTATTATTATTATTACCAGTAGTGATGATAATAATAGTGAAGGAGGAGGAGTGGAAGCTGTTACAGTAGTAGCAGTAATGCTATGAGCAGCATGAACAACTCCAAGCCAGGTGTACATATATGCCCATTGATAAGATATATTCCTAGACACCCCAGAATAACTAAATATTTCAGTTCTTTGAAACTTTTAACTACTAAGACAACAATGTGATACTTGAGACATCAAGTCTGCAGATTTCAACTTAGTATTTTCTCCTTTACTTCTATGGGAAGACAAGGAAGAGGAAAGAAAGTGGGAGAGAGGAAGGAGTAGAGGAGAATTATATATATGTTGCTTCTATTTCGTATTATACCATGTAATAAATATTTGAAATGTGATCTTATTTGGAGAACTGACAAAATATATTGCCTTATCAACATGAAGGATCATCTGAACATATTTCTTTAGAAATGTTTATAATATAAAATCAGTCACTGTCATATCAGTGACTTTATGAAGTTTTATAATGTGAGATATTTTCAAAGAAAACTATATTATATACTGTCCTCATAGCAACTTAGACTTGCAATTTTTTAAGTGCAGAAATTCTTTGCATGAGTAAACTATGATATGAGATTTTAGAGTTTATACTTACAATGATTTTTTGGAAGTAACAGTTCAAATTGTGTTTCATATTTGTTTCCTAGAATAAAATATTTTTATATGTGAATAAATACTAAACATAATCTTTGAATTCCAATGTGCCACAGTCTGACAACTGTGCATGGCCATTGCTCTGCATGTATCTGCATGGCTTTACATTGCACTGCATAGCTCTACATGGCTGCTGCAAACCTTTGAAACTGGCTTGATCTATAGCACAGAGCACTGCTGATGTTATCCTCATGTCCTTTCTGCAATATACAGCCACCATAACAGTTCCATGCACAAGAACAAATGATAGTCAGACACACAAATGTAGAATCATTCCTCTTCCTGTTTTACCAAGACAGTAGTTCTAAACTCAGATACATAATAAAATAATCTGAGGAACTTTTGAAACGTACTGAAGCCCAGGCCCCAGATTCACAAGCTGAATTGTTCTGGGACGTGGCATGAGCAATGGTACTTTTAAAAGTGCTCCGGACAGTCTAATGAACAGTGTTGAGAATTACTGATCTAAGGTACATGGAAAAGACCTGAATGGTACTACCATGCAGACTATGTATAAATGTGTTCTTTTCTAATAGCAAAAGCAAAAAAGTCTCCAAGGGAGATACTTATCTAAGAAGATATAATCCTGACTTCTCTGAAATAGACATACATATAAATTATTATATTAATGTAGAAAATCAGCGTGATCTGATCACTAGACGGTGTTAGAAATACAACCATTTTCCAAATAGGCAGATTTATTTGCTGAAGTTACTTTGCAGAAATATGCCACACCCATGGAGATGGTTCATGAAGCTGAACAACCTAGGTATTACTGATTGAAATAATAATCACCTGATTATACAAAAAGGGAAAGAAGTTATCAGTTACATTTAATCACTGTTTTTAGCTCATATTTAATCAAATAAAATAGTACGTTAAAAATTCTTCGAAAAAGTTATTGCTACTTGACATAATGACATTTTTAAGGTTCTTTTTACCTCTCTGTGGGATTGGAAGCTCTGGAACACAGAGGCTAGGACGCATCTGAGGTTAGAACGACCAATAACAGAACATAGAAATGACTTTCATAACACCAGAGCAAGAGCCCTGACCATGCTGCCCATGCTCCTAAAAGTATCTCCAGAATGAGAAGGCAAACTATGTGAAGTAGAGACAATAATAAATAAAATAATTAAAGGAAATATGTCTGAGCTTGGCTCTTTAGGAAGAAAGGGCCCCTCTGAATGCAGAACATAAATATTGATAGAAGGTACATATTTAGACATATCCTAGGGAAAATTCTGAATTGCAATGACAGAAGAAATCCCATAAGCTTCCATAAAGAAAAATGAAATAGGTTGTCTTCAAATGAAAGAGAATTAATCTGTCTTCACATTTCTCATCTGCAAGATTAATGCTAGAAAATAATAAAGCAATGTTACATAGTTCTGGATAAAAACGGATTGTGGCCATGGGCTTATACCCAGACAAATTTTATCCATGTACGTGGCAAAAGAAAGGCATTCAGACACATCAGAATTCATGAAATATAGTATTCGCTTCACTCTTTGAGAACATTTTCTGAGGAATTACTCTAGGGAAACAAAATAAATCAAAAGAAATATATCAGCATGGTTCTCAATAGAATATTTTGAAACCCTTGGAAGGATAATGTACAACCTCATAGATTAGAATTGAAAAAGAAAAAGGTCTACAAGTTATTAAGTAAAGGGGTTGATATTAAGACAGTGAGTTCATTATAATTCATTATATATATGTCGCTATATAGATACGGATCTCTCTCTCTCTCTCTCTCTCTCTATATATATATATATATATATATACACAACCATTTTCCACATAGGCAGATTTATTTGCTGAAGTTACTTTGCAGAAATATACCACACCCATGGAGATATATAGATATAGATACAGATATAGATATAGATATCTATATATGTAGATAGATATAGATATCTATATATGTAGATAGATATAGATATCTATATATGTAGATAGATATAGATATCTATATATGTAGATAGAGAGAGATGCTGTGTAACTCTGAAGATTAGTACGGTTAGTGTTTTATTTTTCAAAGGGAGAGAGGTAATAGAGAAAAATGCCAGATGCCCTGGCACACCTTAATTTATTTTTTAATCACATCCAGCTTAAACAGTAACAAATAGGCCTTCAAGTCTGCTCAGACTGGAACAGTAGCTCCAAGATTTCTTTTGAAGTTTGGGTCAGGGAAACCTCAGCCTGGATTACCAGCACTGTGATGGGGTTTAGAGCCAACTCCCTAGTAATGTGTTGCCTTTCTTTGCATCTTTGTACATCTCTCTCTTCCACTCAGGGACCTTGTAGGAATGGTAGTTGTGGTTGAATATAGCATACAGATATCACTAGGACCCTCTCCAAATGCTGTCACAATCCTCACATTGTCACATAACGGCACCCTGAGCTGGGCCTGATACACACCCTGCTCCACATCCGTGACTGGTGGAAAAAAAAAATGTCTTGGCCTCATTCAAAACGTATTCTCCTTGATTCATTTTCAAACCAGCAAACAATGGTGCAAAGATTATCAGTTGATGATACAAGTGAGTGAGTGTATGCAGATTTCTTGTCTTTAGAGTTTTTCACACAAGCAAGACTGAAGTTTGGTGGTCATATATCATCTTCATAGAGCCAAGAACCAGCTAGGTCACAGACCTCACTGCATTTTATACCATGCTGCTAAGCTAAGGGAGGATCCCGTCAGCAGTCTGTCTGCTTCCAGCTTCTATTTCTTCCTGCAGTAGGTCTGCCAGGGCCTACACATACAACTTCTCACTGTGAGAAACCAGTTCTCAAGTCATTTTCAACTACTTTCCTAAATCTTTCATAGTTCGATTGCACACAAATTTACTTTTGCATATATATCCCAAAGTAATAACCTAAAAATAAAACTCTTTGAATATTAAGATATCCATTGCAGTGTTCTTTATATTAATGAAAGCTGGAAACAATTTTAATGTCTAATAATGTAAGAATAGTTATGTAAATTATGGCATTTCCACCCCATGGAATATTATACAACCATTACAATTATAATTATACAAATTTATCTCAGTTTAAAAACATTTTGACATAATTGAATGGAAAAAAGCAAAACCAAGAGTACACAATTATACCTATATTTTTCATTTAATTTTGCAAAATAGCTACCCAAATAGACAATAACCAAAAGCAGACATACAATGATTATATTTTTGGAAATGACAGAATTCTGGATATGATGACTCCTAATTTGTTTGGTTTTCATTTAGCAATCCATTATTTTCGCTCAGAGATAAGTCAAAAAAAAACTTCTTAAATTAAATTTTGAGTTCCTACCGTATGTAAGTCATTTTGCTAAATGTATGTGGCAATGCAAAGATGATGCTTAAAATGCATTCTTTCCTATGGAATTTGTAATGCAATTAGTGGAAAATCTATGTGTGTAATTTTTGCAAAGGGTTTAGGGTGAGATACTCTCAGAATTAACAAAGGAACACTTAAAATCCATTTTTCCTCTTCTTCCTGTAGTTTTATATAATGTTTTTAAATTAACTTAGTGTAACAGTCCATTTTCACACTGCTATAAAGAAATACCCAAGACTGGGCAATGTATAAAGGAAAAAGTTTTGACTCACAGTTCCATATGCCTGGGAAGGCCTCAGGAAACTTACAAACATGGCAGCAGGTGAAGCAGGCACGTCTTACATGGCAGCAGGCAAGACAGCATGTGTCAGCACAAGAAAAACTACCATTTATAAAACAATCAGATCTCATGAGAATTCACTCACTATCACGAGAACAGCATGGGGGAAACTGCCCCCATAATCCAGTCACTTCCTACCAGGTCTCTCCCTAAACACCTGGGGATTACAATTCAAGATGAGATTTGAATGACGACACAAAGCCTAACCCTATCACTTAGCAAAAGAAAAACTATCTAAAGAATAAAGAAATTAACAGAAAGCACTCATTTAGTATGGAGCCATGAGAAAATAAGATCAACTGAGGTAGAATTTAGTAATATCCCCTCCCTAGTTCTGCCCTAGAGAAAAGAAACTACTCCCAACAAGTGAAAGAATGTGGCCCTGAGTCAGATGCAGTCCCAGAGTGGAGGAAGGGTCATTCATTTATCATCAACTGGTGTCACTTGTTACCAAGGTTTTCAACTCATTGCCAATATTTAGCTGATGGTAGTCTCACTGTCTTTGGAACTTTAATTCAGGGAGGAGTGTGCCCTTAAGATTGCTCAGAACATTGTGATCTAGATGACTTTCTGTTTTCTAGATGACTTTCTCAGTTTTCATTGAGAAATAATGAATTAACACAGTGCTCTTTATGACAGTCGGGTTACTGCAAAGCCACCTATCAGAAACAAGCCCTCATGGGATTCTGACATCATGGATCTCTTGCACCTACAAAGCTGAGGACTGGACATCTGAGGGAAGTGACAGCTCTGAGATAACTCTGCCTTTTTTTGCTCTGTCCAAGGGCCACAGCATTTTTTAAAATAACAGCCACTCTGTCCTCCCTTCAAAATGCAACTTCCTTCACACAGACGCAGAGTGTAGAGTAGGTTGAGTCAGATGCTAAAATAGAGAAACTGAAAATCTGCAATATGGAACCAGGAAAATGGAGGATCCATTCCAATGCAAGCACTGGGAAGAGATGAGCATGACTTGTGAGGTTAGGAAGGGCTCTTAGAAAATCTTGGAAGGAGATAACATTAGTGATAGGCCTTTAAAGATGAATGGGCTTTTGCTGTGCTGGGAAGAAACAACTTTTCATTTTTCTGACTGTGTGGGATTTAAGCAGTGAGAGAAAGCAGAGTTACTGAGCACATGTACAGTGAATTGGGAAAGGGCACTACATGATATTATGGCCCTGCCTCCCAGACCTGGGGATCCAGCCTAAGATGTAGAGATGAACATGAGGTATAGCTACAGAAAGGCACTTACGAATCTAAAAATAAAATTCAGTAGTTAAATAGATTGCAATCTACTATGTGAGAACCCCTGAATTTAAAAGGATATACTGAACTTCTCTCAAAGGGGGCATCAGTTGCAATGATGTGCTTTTGCTACTGCAAGACTTTCCAAAACACAGCTTGATATTTTGAGAATTTTACACCCAACAGTGGTCGAGAATATTAGTCCCAGAGGGGAGTTTTTATACAAGACAATTTTATCTTTGTAAAAACTACTCTCATATATAGTTCTATCAATATGTACTCCAATTGGATATTATACTCTTATTAAAATATGTTTAGCAAAGGAAAAGAATATGCTGTACCATTAATATTTTATATCTTTAATTGATAGCATTCTTAAACTTGCATCCCCAGGGTAAGTGTTCATCAAGAGAATGAGATGACAAGCAGTAGACTGGGAGAAATATTTACAAAAGACACATCAGAAAAATGACTGTTATCTAAAATATACAAAGAACTCTTAAAAATTAATAATAAAAACACAAACAACCCAATTTAAAAATGGGCCAAAAACTTTAATAGACATGTCACCAAAAAAAATATACAAATGGCAAATAAGAAGATAAGAATGTTCCACACTGTATGTCTTCAGGGAAATTAAAACAACAATAAGACCCTACTACACACCTATTAGAATGGCCAACATCCAAAACACAGACAACACCAAATGCTGGCAAGGATGTGGAGCAACAGAAAGTCTCATTCATTGCTGGTGGGAATACAAAATGGTACAGCCATTGTGGCAAACAGTTTGGTGATTTCTTGCAAAATTAAATATGTTCTTACTATATGATTCGGCAATTGCACTTCTTGGTATTTACCAAAAGGAGTTGAAAACATGCCTGCACAAAAACCTGCACGTGAATGTTTATGAAACATTTATAATTGCTAAAATTTGGAGGCTTAAAACAACAACCATTATAATTTCTCATGCTGTCATATCTCTATGGGTCCGCTGGGCACTCCTGCAGGGACCCAGCTCATACATGCATCCGTGGTCAGCTGGAAGACTGGCTGTAGCAAAGTCAGTCTAGGAAAGGCTTGCCTGGGAAGACAGCACTGCTCCTTATGATGCTCATCTTTCTAGAAGAAAATTCTGGACTTACGGTAGTGTCTGGGTTCCAAGATCAAGAATGGAAACATAAAAGGAACTGGCTTACTGTCACTTCAACCACATTCTGTTACCCAAGATAAGTCACAAGACAAGTACAGATCCAAGAATGAGAAAATATACTCTACTTCTTGATGTGAGGAGCTACAGAGTTATATTACAAAAAGTGTGAATACCAGAAGGCAGTAGAATTGTCATAAATTTACCACAAACATAAATATTATCCTGGAGTAGGTGTCTAGGAACATCGTAAGTAACCAAATATGATGAGTCCTTAGTGTCCCAAATGTACAACATGCATTTTCTTACACATCTAAAAGGATTAGAAACTCAGTAACAAGTCAACTTTCACCTAAATCACCCAAAGATACAATTTTATCACTCAGTAGAATGATATATCCATTTTCAGAAACTAAAGCTACTGTCTGTCATCCAGAACTCTCCTTTCCTGCCACTGAACTGTCTGGGAACCCAAATCAGACAGTTGTAAATAAGCAGAATATTAGAACCAAAAGTGATTAGTCTCAGGTGAGATTGTTTTCTGACCATACTGAAGCCTGATGAAATACTCTACCCCACTGCTTGTCTTGTGATAAGAATGCCGTGTCTCACTCTCTTTCTCTCACTCCCTTTATGCCCCAAAAGATATAATTACACTAAGGATCTTCAGATGACGACGTCATCCTGGATTATCTGGTCCTAAATTCAGCTACAGTAATCCTTATAAGAATAAGGCACTCCAGCCTGGGCGACAGAGCGAGACTGTCTCAGAAAAAAAAAAGAATAAGGAAGAAGGAGATTAGACACAGAGAAGAGAAGGAGACAACGTGACTATGAAGGTGGAGATTGGTGTGATGCTTTCAGAAGTCAAGAAATCAAGAAACACAACAGCCACCAGAAGCTGGAAAGATAAAAGCAGATCTTCCCCCAGAGCCTTCAGAAGAAACATGGCCTTGGCAACCCCTTAATTTTGGACTTCTGGACAACAGAACTGTGAGAGAATAATTTCTTGTTGTTTTAAGCCACCCAGTGTGTGGTAATTTGTTACAACCATCTCAGGAAACCCAGGAAACAGAGTATAAAATAATTTCTTTTTTAAAATAGTGGCTAAAGATTTGGGCCCACAAAATTTATCAGAGCATCACTGCAACCCTGGCCTGAGAAGGTATCTTAAAAGCTAAGTATCTAATAAGAAAGCACCTTTTAACTTTAATTATTCCACCCATTTGAATAGAATCCAGACAGTTTTGTTTCATATCACATGCTATTCCATATATGGAAAAATTCCCCTTATGTATTAAATGAAAAGAAAGCAAGCCAAAACCAGTGTCTACTTTACAAACCCAATTTTTAAAAATATATAATTATATTTAAGTATGTATGTATAAAAGAGAGCATACAACAGTTTGATGATTAAAATATTCACAATTGTTTTATTTTTCATTATCATTTACAAAAACTCCAAAATTAAAAGCAATAATAATACTTAGCAGTAACAATTTGAAATTTTGTTCCATCATAACTTGTCTTTCAATGTAACAATACATGAATTCTGATGCAGCCTAAGGTGTAAATATTGTTTTATTTCCTTGATAATTCAAAAACTGTTGCAGATCTTGAGTGCTATAGATTGTTCATTCTCAATAACATGATGTTTCCATATATAAAGCTAAAGAAGTAGATATAAAGCTCATATTTATTAGACAACTGCAAATTATGCCCTCTATCTCAAAGTAGGAAAACTTGACCAAATATTTAGGGCTAATATTTAAGTTATTCCAAATGCCAAGCTAGAAGTTGATAAAACTATGCATTTATCAATTTCCTTGTTACAGATCTGGCAAATTAATTACATGCCTCATCTATTGTGTATGAAGTAATACTCTTGTATTTTTTCTTAATGTGATGAAATATATACATACATAAATTCATCTGACAAATATATATATCTCATCAGCTGAAGAAAAATATATACATGTAAATATATATACACACACAGACACATATATACACATACACACACATGATACAGATATATCATGTGAGAAGGGCTAAAGCATCAACTTATAGATGGCAGTTCATAAATATCCCTTTTCCAATATGTGTCCTTCATTCTCAATAGCCAAATATATAAGATCATTCTGCTAAAATACAGTTTCTATTAAAGATATCAGCCCATTTAATTAAAAGTATTTCTGATATATAAAGCAAAAGTTCTCCCCCCAACAAGTGTCTAAAATTTTGGGTGTAGATGCAAACAGCAGAAAGATTTTGCTGTCTCAATAATATACCTTAGCCCATTTTTCTTCTTTTGAATCAATGCCTAGCATGTTTATAGACTCATCTTGGTGCCATAGGCTGAGCACTTTTATACTTTTATACTCAAGCATGGTTCTAGCTCTCTATTAAAAAATACAGCTATGTCTTGTAATAAATATGGCACTAATTTTAATCTATCCTAAACAAAAATATATGCAAACTTTACCTCTCTTTGGATAATGTTCAGTCCATTGCAACAGTAAGAAAATATATTGTTTATCAAGTATTGGTAAGCATATAAAACAATAGGAACACTTAAGCAACCTAATTAATGTGGGAATTAGTGTTTAAAAAACAATTTGGGGAACAATTTGGCATTACACAGTAAAGGTGAACATGCGTATACCTAGCAACCCAGAAATTCTGCTTCTGGCTACAGAAAGCCACAAACCCTGGAAAAACCATCACATGTGCCCCAGGGACGTGTACAGGAATGTTCCTAGTGGTCATAGCTGCGTTGTTGTGAAACTAGAATCCTAGAAACAGCTCAAATGTTCAGCATCTGTAAAATGAACAAATAAAGTGTGTTATATTCATTCGGTGAAATGTATACAATAGAATTTTAACAAGCTATTCAATGGAACTTTATATACTCATATAATGGCTTCAGTAAAATGAATTAAATCAAACTACATGTCAGCATAGATAAATCTCAGAAGCATCATGTTGAGTGAAAAAAAAAGCAAATTGCAAAGTACGTATTATATTTCCATTCTTCTGAAGGTCAGAAATCACACCTCAACAACATATTGTCTATGGCTGCCTACCTTTCTGGTGAACTGATAAAGAAAAGCAAATAAATGAATACACAAAATTCTACACAATAGTTACTCAGAAGGGGAGAGAACGATTGAAGAAGCCTATGGAGGGTTTCAAAAGTACTGGGTGGTGTGTATATTGGTGTTAATTGTATAGTGGTATTCTCAAAACTATATGTTATATACACTTTATGCTGAGCAGCGGTCCCCAGCCTTTTTGGCACGAGGGACTGATTTCGTGGAAGACAATTTTTTGCACAGACGGACAAGGTGGAGGGGAGTAGGATGGCGGGGAGTGGTTTCAGGATGAAACTGTTCAACTTGAAAGCATCAGGCTTTAGTTAGATTCTCATAAGAAGCACACAACCTAGATTCCTCCCATGAGGGATCCTAGATCCCCAGTTCCTAACAGACCATGGACCAATACCAGTCTGTGGCCCAGGGATAGGGAACACCTGATACAGTGAGTGTGTTTTGCAGTGACAAAAATTTGAAAAGTAAACATTGTTCTATCTGATATTGCTTTGAATAATCTAAGAAGGGAAAGATAAGAAATGTAGCTTTTCTCTGGCTTGCTAGGAATTAACACTATTCATAGGAGTAGAAGTTGTAAAAATACCTCATGAATTTAACATAAATTCTCAATTCACCTTTTTTTGAAAGGTCTTTGAATATCAGAAATTGGTCACATTTTCATGCTAAATATCCTCCCCTGGCTGAGTCCCCTGAAGTCTTTCCCTTATTTCCAAGATCCCCAAGCCCCAGAGGCAGCTGCTTGAGTTGTAGCTTAACCTATATTTAGTAATAATGGTGTGGACTTTTATTTTAAACAATGTTTCTTTCAGTCTAAAACAACCCAACTGCAATCAAAATTGGCTTATAATTATATGAGGAAAATGTGATATGGCATTACTTTCATAGTTCTTGTGGGTTTATTAAATAATAAATATCATACTTTATGTCTGTTGTTGTGATTCTGCCTTCCGAAGTCTTTTTACCATCAGGAAATGACTTCCCCAGAGAGCATATCTAATTCATACTTTTCTGTGTATTTTTTACCACTCTTGAAATCCTAAGAATGTATATTAAAGGTGCCCTTTTTCTAAAAGCCATGATCTTCATAGAGTTCATATATAATATAGATGTGATCGATTTTATGAATTTATAAACACTTTATAGACTTAACTGTTAGAATTTTGAGTTTCATGTTAGAAGTTCTAAAAGCCATAATTTTAAAAACTTTTACACAAGATCAGTCTTTCTGTCGCATTAAAAAGTTATAGTAAATAAAGATAAAAATGCAGAAATAGCTTTTTCCTCTCTGGGTTGATATTAAGACATTATTGTTTCTCTCAAGATTATTTTAGTGTCTTAATTATAGTAAATTAGAATAATTAGAGAGAAATTATGTGAACCCTACCATTCCCCCAAAGCCTTTATCCTGCCTTTTAGTCAGATAATGAATGTTAATATAAATAATTGATACATTCTGAGTGCTTCCAAGTCTTCACACCTGACATTTTTCTTTTAAATTTTACTCCTGATAGAAGGTGAATCATGTCAGGCATTATTTCTTTGGTCTAAAGAGTACTAATTAAGCTTGTGGTGAACATTCTTGCAAATAAAACAAAGCAATTCCATTATAATAGAAAGGCATATGCATTTATTTTTATTTTTATAATCTTCATGGACTCAGATACATGCAAGTTCTGTTCAACAAATATAGCCAAAGAATTTTTTTTTCTGTTTGTTTTCATGAACATATTGTTTAATGCTTTTTTATAAAATGTGTTCGGTTACACTTTAGACATGAAGGTGTAGTCAGATAAAACAATTTGAAACAGATTCCAGTGGGCAAAATATTACATGCGGACTGAATATTAATATTTAACACTTCCAAGGACATGAGGAGTGCATACCGGTGCCAGGGTCTGTGCTGGGCACTGGCAGTTCAGCGGCGTTTTGTACATATATCACCATTGCCACTGTGAAGTTTGTAAGAAGTCACAATGTGATGCACCTTACCAAAAGGGAAATATGATGCTATAGTAGGACGTGACAAAGGGACTGCTCTGGTCTGAAAAGCCCAAGGAGACCTTGCTGGGGAAGCTATAACTCAGGGAGGGACCGATAGAGACACAAGCTGAGGCTGTAGAAGAGACTTCCTCACGGAGGAAACAACATGGGCAAGCCTGTGGCGTAGACAGGTCATGTTTGGCTCCAGGGATGAAGAGAGCTCCAGGGTGGCTGGAATATAGAGTGAGGTGTGTGTAGGAGTGAGATTAGTCTGAAGAGGAAGCCAGGGGCCAGCAGGTACCTTTTAGGGGAAAAAAAAATGTTCATTCTTGAGGGAATTCAAAATTCTAATGAAAGCAAACTTGAAGCACATTTCTGCACCTAGCACACTTAGCTTTGGGGGGAAAAAAACATTGGCAAATATCTTTCACATGATAACTTACCCACCAGTAGCACCCATCTTCTCTCCACATGCACATCCCAAGGTAGTAACATAAGTGTTCAAATGTGAGTTTGCTAATGTATGTGGCCATTGGCACTGGAAATTTGCATCAGCTGGATAATCCTCAGTTTCCTAATCTGTAAATCTGATGTGAATGTATCTACCTCAGAGAGTTGTTGGAAAAATTGAATGAGGTGATTAATGCAAAGGCCCCAGTCCATGGTGGATGACTGGCACAGAGTATATTATGCCCTCAATCAATTATTCTTCCTCTTAGCCTCCCTCACACTCTCTCATGGATGTGCAAGATGCCAGAAGTGTGTCGTGTGAGGCCATGGTCACTTACCTCTGATCTAGTCAGACACTAGCCCGGAGCAAACAACCAGCCCTTTCTACTGTCCTTGTCTCTTCTTAAAGCATTTAAAGCATTGGATGGTTCATGCTATTGGCATGAGAAGATATCATTTTCTTCCATCCAGCAATTGAATCCACATCCCACATCTGTTATCAGCAAAGAAAAATGTAGTAAAAATACAAAGTAAATAATTCAGCTTCTTCTTTTGGTTCTGATTTTGATTGCATAATTAGAATGACCACATAATTTGTCATTCAAGTAAGGACACTTTTGAGAGTAAAAAGGGAACACTATAAATAATTATTCCAAGACAATAAGGGAAAACTTAAATATATGGTCCTGCTCATTATAATACACATCACAGATATAAAAAAGAAATGATTGTAAGACACACCTGTACCAATCAATTGTGGCCAAGAGAGGAGAGAAGTGAGTATTAAAATGCCAGTGAGTTAATGCTTTCCAAATTTTCCTGTAGCTATCATTAATAATTAGAAAAAAGTTAAAGAATATCATAGGTATGTAAATCTAAAACTAATTTATACTATGGTCTTATATTTTTATTAGTCTGATCTAAAAGAATACATTTTACCTTACAACTTCAAATTGATATTAGTAACAACTGTAAGTTCTGTGAGTTGTTAGGTCCTACTAACAGATGTTAGTGAATGTTGTTGTGATTGCTGCCCTTTTAACAGTATTTTTTTTTAAAGAATGCTGGTATCATATTCATCTGTAGGATATTTATTTCTATAAAATATATAATGAATTTTGGCATTCCATGCTCTTTTTAAATGACGGTGTTAAATGCCAGTTTCTTCATTCAACAAATGTTTATTGGGCAATATCAGGAGAACTGTGTTAAGTGTTGAATGAGCAAAACACTCAAGACTATGCCCTCAGTAAAACTCTGACTTCTTGTGGCACACAGAGAAGTGGCTGATTTATTGCAGTGCAGTTTGATAACAACTGTGATGGTGAAGTATGAGAGCTCTGAGAATGTATTTGCAGAGTGTCCCTAAGGAGCCACACCATCATCAGGGCAATATGATAACTATCCTCTGACTAAAAACATGAGTAAGATTTAGCTTTGCAAAATGGAGTGGACAAAAATGATGCTGCGAGCAGATGGGGTAGCATGTCCACAGGTGTAGAGAGGGCACGGGATGCTACAGGATCCAATAAGGGAAGAAAGCATCAGGTTCTGGAGGATGCTGGGATTAGGTGCTGTTTTTCATCTGGAAGAAGGAGGACCCTGAGCCCTCCAGCTTCTGGTCCAGATACCCTGATGTCAGCATTCCAAAGTTTGGGAAGACAATCCTATTCTTTGTGTTGTGGCTCTAAAACTCTACAATAAAAATGGCACATTTTAAAGGAAATGGAGAAACGTTACCTAAAGTATTAGGGAAATTTTTTAAAGGTATAATTAAAACATCAATCAAAGACAAATTGGAAAGCATCTGGAGAGAAACTGTCTGATTTAATTGGTAATGTTCAGGTTGAATTAATTAATGAAAACAGAGCTTGTCTAAAAGCCTAGAACTGTATGACTGTGAGAAGTGTTTACCTTCTAAATATTTTGTCTGCTATAAAACAATGTTTTTAAGGCATAATGCTTTGCTATATGTCTGAATAAACAAAGGTTAATTTGTTCCCTATACACATTGTATTTAACAGAATAAATGTAATACTAAAATACGAAAAACTTCTTCTGTAATTATCCTTGTCTCTCACAAGAATTCAAGTAGATTCTCATGGATAAACAGCATTGACTAAATTTCACAAGATAATTGGCATGGGATAGGCCCAAACTAGTCAGTATCTCCTGGCCTCTTCCAAGTCTCATTTTTCTTATCAATAAAATGAAAAATTTAAACTTAATGATATTTACCTTTCTTCTACCTTCAGAATTCTAAACCATAGGAGTTAAATGGAGAAGAAACAGAATGAAACTTTTTTATTACAAATAAATTTGAATTAAAACCCTAAATGAACAGATAACAAGATACAACCAGTAATTTTACTTTCTGATTCATGTTTGTATCAAATTTATTAGTTTATGTAACTAACATCTATTGAACACTTGCTATATGCCAGTCACTGTCTTAGATAGTAGAAATATAATGAAAACCAAAATAATTATATTCCTATGCCTCATGAAGTTTGTAGTGTACAGGGATAGATATATTTGAAATAAATAAACACAGGAATGCACATATTATGTGTTATAATGGAAAAGTAAAGGGTTTGGAGAGACCTGATTTAGACTGGATGAGAAGAAAAGGTGGGGGAGGTAGATGGCCCCAGGACTGAGCACATTCCCTGGGACAAGAAAGAACAGGGAGCTTATCAGAAACTGGAAGAAGTTTGCTGTGGCTGGAGCTGCATGAGAAGGGGAGAGCACTGTGAGATGAGGCTGGGGAAGTTGGCAGGGACCACATCCCACAGACCTGTGCATTTGCCCTCCTCTATGCAATGAGACTTTGCTCAAGAGTATTAAGCAAGGGAATTCCATGATGATATTTTGCATTAAAATAATCACTTAGGGTCTGGAGTGAAGAAAGGGTTGGTGAGGGGTAAAGCAGAAATAAGCAGAATCTTTAAAAGACTCTTCCAAGATTTAGGTGGGAGCTTACAGTGACTAGTCAGGAAGGTTGGCAGTACGGATGAGGGAAAGCGGGAGCCTTGAAATCAGTCATAGCAAAAGGGATGCTAAGACAATTGCTTAAATAAAATGATCTTCAGTAGTCTTTGTGGTCTTAAAAAAATGAGATTGTCTCTCTCATCTTTCTTTCCCATTTTTAAAGGCTTTCCAAGAAAAGTAGGAATTGCCTTTGCATTTTTCCCCTAGACAGAGAAAAGCAGTGATGCACACACTTTACCGAGTCTCTCAATCTCTCTTTCTCTCTTTTGGTCCCTTCAGAGATGAATAGACGAGCATTATAGCTTCTCATAATTACAAAATACCAAAAGACTATTTTCATCTGCTACAAAACATCTTCACAGACTTATATTAAAAACTATTGGTATTTACATTTGCAAGGAATAAAAATTCTTTATGTCTCTGCAGTATTTTTAACCATAACACTTTAGTGGATTCTCTTAGTAAAATATCTGATACCATTTATTTTTTAATTTTACTAGCATTGATGGGTAATCACTAACTGTCTGTTGGTGAGATTGCCAAAGACCTTCACTTAGAAATCAATCACTCCACCACAGGGCTGTGAAGACACAACACACGGCCTACTGTTTCTGGAAAAAGCTTTAGGCATTCCTTGCATTTTCCCACCCGATATATACAGGGGAAATATTTTGCCAGATTACTACCCAAAAATTAGCTTAAACATGCATATGTTCAATCCATCTTAACTGTGAGAATACCTTGTGCAGCACTTTGAGAGGCTGAGGCGGGTGGATCACTTGAGGTCAAGAGTTCAAAACCAGCCTGGCCAACATGGTGAAACCTCTTCTCTACTAAAAATACAAAAAAAATTAGTCGTGCATGGTGGTGGGTGCCTGTAATCCCAGGTACTTGGGAGGCTGAGGCAGGAGAATCACTTGAACCTGGGAGGCGGAGGTTGCAGTGAGCCAAGATCAAGCCACTGCACTACAGCCTGGGTGACAGAGCAAGACTCCGTCTCAAAAAAATAAAATAAAATAAAAACCCTCATATTTAAAACCATAAAAGAAACTAAGCAGTCACTAAGCAGTTCTGTTCTCAATTTGGAATAAAGACTGTCATTCCATATATTTCACAGATATCTAAATCTAGGCCTGTAACCACTTCTGACATTTTACTATCTCAAGGTTCATTATGTCTAGATTGTTTTTCTTCAAATAATCTCTCTACCCTGATTTATACTGTGCATAGATGGTTAATCTTCCGATTTTTAATTGCAATGTGACTATATATTTTAATCTAATTTATTGCCTCACATTCAAAGACATTTCATATATTTTATTTAAAGGTAAGACTGGAGGCAGCTAATATTTCCATTATGAATCTTCAGTTTAGATTTGACCTTTCCTTTGATAATATTAAAGATAAATTATGTCACACTGTTATCTAGAATCTAATGAGTTTTTTAAATGTTTTATCGAAGTTAAAGAGATTTACAAACTGAACACATCCATGTAATCACTATCGAGATCAAAACACAGAATACACCAGCACCCAAGAAGCCCACTCTCTCCAGCATCCAGGTCATTAGCAGTTCCACCAGAAGTAACCATTATCCATCATCATAGGTAAATTTTGTACATTTTTGAACTCTAGAATTGTGCAATATATATTTATTGGCTTTCATCCATCAATATTAAGCTCGTAAGCTTCAATTCTTTTGTTATATGTAGCAGTTAGCTCATTTATTCTTAGTCCCGTAGGTTATTTTATTGTATGAGTATACCAACAGTTATTTATCTCTGTAACTGTGAAATGACTTTCAGGTGTTTCCAGTTTGAAGCTATTAACAAATGCTGTTATGAAGATTCGTGTAAATCTTTTTGGTGCACATGTGTATGCATTTGTTCCTCTTGGTTATCTATCTAGGAGTGAAATTGTTGGATCAAATGGAAAGAGTATTCAGTTTTATTACATAATGTTATGCAAAGTGGTTCTACCATTTTAAACTCCCTAGCAGCAGTGTATGAGAGCTCCAGTAGCTCCACATCCTCATCAACTTTTAATATTATCAGTCTTTCATTTTAGCCATTCTGGTTAATGTATTATAGAATCTCATTTCAACATTGAAGTCTTAACTTCCATTTCCCTGAAAAGCAATAAGGTGGAGCACATTATTGTTTGTTTGTTGACTATTTGGATATCTTTTTGTATATATTTGAGACAGTTTGGGTTGTCTATCTTTCTTTCCCTTTGAGTTGTAGGAGTTCTTTATATATTCTGGATACAAGACTTTTGTCAGATATATGTACTACAGATGTCTTCTCCCAGTCTGTGATTTTTCACTTTCTTAATATAACACTTGGATGAACAACAATACTTAATTTAATGAAGTCTGATATTTGAAGCTTTCATTTATAATTAGTGCTTTTATATCTTGTTTTTTTTTAAAACCCACCTACTGCAAGGTTACATTCTTCTGTTCTACTTGTAACATTTAGACTTACAATCCAATGTATTAGAAATTGATTTTTATTTATATTACAAAGCAGGGATCAGGAATCATTTTTTCCTCACATGGATATTCAAATACCAAGCACCATTGATTGAAAAGCCATCCTTTTTCTACCAAACTGCAGCATCATTTTTGTCATAAAATCAAGTGATCATATATGTCTGAATCTATTTCTAGACTCTATCCTTTTGGTCCCTCTATCTTTGTCTAATAGTATACTGCCTTAATTGCTGCAGCTTTACAATGTTTGGTTTCTGATAGTGTAAGTCTTCCAGGTTTCTGCTTCTTTCAAGATTTGGCTATATTTTAGCTTTCTGAGAAGCTGATCCTGAAGTTCATATGAAAGTAAAATTTACCAGCACCATTTGTTAAATAGGGAATCCTTTCCCTACT
The DNA here is from genome assembly GCF_000001405.40 of Homo sapiens. Taxonomy (NCBI): domain Eukaryota; kingdom Metazoa; phylum Chordata; class Mammalia; order Primates; family Hominidae; genus Homo; species Homo sapiens. The sequence continues at coordinate 32,122,946 of NC_000009.12, forward strand.
TCTTGTTTTTGTCAGGTTTGTCAAAGTTCAGATAGTTGTAGATGTGTGGTATTATTTCTGAGGGCTCTGTTCTGTTCCATTGGTCTATATCTCTGTTTCGGTAACAGTACCATCCTGTTTTGGTTACTGTAGCCTTGTAGTATAGTTTGAAGTCAGGTAGCGTGATGCCTCCAGCTTTGTTCTTTCGGCATAGGATTGACTTAGCAATGCGGGCTCTTTTTTGGTTCCATATGAACTTTAAAGTAGTTTTTTCCAATTCTGTGAAGAAAGTCATTGGTAGCTTGATGGGGATGGCATTGAATCTATAAATTACCTTGGGCAGTATGGCCATTTTCACGATATTTATTCTTCCTATCCATGGAAAACTGTAGAAAGCTGAAACTGGACCCTTCCTTACACCGTATACAAAAATTAATTCAACATGGATTAAAGACTTAAATGTTAGACCTAAAACCAAAAAAACCCTAGAAGAAAACCTAGGCAATACCATTCAGGACATAGGCATGGGCAAGTACTTCATATCTAAAACACCAAAAGCAATGGCAACAAAAGCCAAAATTGACAAATGGGATCTAATGAAACTAAAGAGCTTCTGCACAGCAAAAGAAACTACCATCAGAGTGAACAGGCAACCTAGAGAATGGGAGAAAATTTTTGCAATCTACTCATCTGACAAAGGGCTAATATCCAGATTCTACAAAGAACTCAAACAAATTTACAAGAAAAAAACAAACAACCCCATCGAAAAGTGGGCGAAGGATATGAACAGACACTTCTCAAAAGAAGACATTTATGCAGCCAAAAGACACATGAAAAAATGCTCATCATCACTGGCCATCAGAGAAATTCAAATCAAAACCACAATGAGATGTCATCTCACACCAGTTAGAATGGTGATCATTAAAAAGTCAGGAAACAACAGGTGCTGGAGAGGATGTGGAAAAATACTAACACTTTTACACTGTTGGTGGGACTGTAAACTAGTTCAACTATAGTGGAAGAGAGTGTGGCGATTCCTCAGGGATCTAGAACTAGAAATACCATTTGACCCAGCCATCCCATTACTGGGTATATTCCCAAAGGATTATAAATCATGCTGCTATAAAGACACATGCACACATATGTTTATTGCGGCACTACTCACAATAGCAAAGACTTGGAACTAACCCAAATGTCCAACAATGATAGACTGGATTAAGAAAACGTGGCACATATACACCATGGAATACTATGCAGCCATAAAAAATGATGAGTTCATGTCCTTTGTAGGGACAGAGATGAAGCTGGAAACCATCATTCTCAGCAAACTGTCGCAAGGACAAAAAACCAAACACCGCATGTTGAACAATGAGAACACTCGGACACAGGGAGGGGAACATCACACACCGGGGCCTGTTGTGGGGTGTGGGGAGGGGGGAGGGATAGCATTAGGAGATACACCTAATGTAAATGACAAGTTAGTGGGTGCAGCACACCAACATGGCACATGTATACATATGTAACAAACCTGCACATTGTGCACATGTACCCTAGAAGTTAAAGTATAATAAAAAAAATTTTTTTTAAAAGTAAAATTTACAACCATATGTGGTAGCTCACACTCATAATGCCAGCACTTTGGGAGGCCAAGTGAGAGGATTCATGAAGTCAGGAGTTCAAGGTTGCAGTGAGCTATGCACCATTGCCTTCCAGCCCAGGCAATGGATAGAGACTCTTAAAAAAAAATTACATACAAACATTACATTTAATGGTGAAATATTGAAAACTTTCCCCTTAAGATCAGGAAATAGTCAAAGATACCTGCCTACAATACTCTTTCACATTGCGCTAGCAGCAAGAAAAATAAATACAGAATAAATTAAGTTCAAAAAGGGAAAAAACAAATAAAACTGCTGTGATTTTCAAATGGCATGATTTTACACCTAGAAAATCTTTCTTAAAACTATAGATAAAGTAGGCCAGGCACAGTGGCTTACTTCTATAATCCCAGCACTTTGGAGGATTGCTTGAGATCAGGAGTTTAAGACCAGCCTGGGCAGTACAGTGAGACATGGTCCTACAGAAAAGTAAAAAATGTAGACAAACTATTAAACTCGTTAAAAATATTTTAAATTTACATGATGACTTTCTTCTCTTCCCATAAGTTATATTGAATGATATTGCTTAATTCCAAAACATCTGGGAATTTTATATTTTTCTTTTTGTTATCACATTCTATCTTTAATTCCACTGTGGTCAGAAAACATCCTTGACATAATTTCTAGTTATTCAAAATGTGTTGTGACTTGCTTTATGAACCAATATATAGTTTAATTTTAGTAAATTTTCCATGTGCACTTCAAAAGACTGACTTTGGGAGTTGTATCTGACATGAACTAGCCTTCATGTATTTCAGTTCCTCACAATTGTTAATCATTTTGTTCAAGCCTTCTTTACTAAATTTTGCCTATTCATTCCACCCATTACTAAGAGACATAGGTTATATAGCCTTCCTCTATGATTGTGAATTTTTCCATTTCACTTTGTCTGTTAGTGTTTGTTTATACATCATAAAGCCATATAATTAGGTGAAAACAAATTTAGAGTTTTACATCTTTCAGGTGAAATGACCCATATGCAATGAATCTGTTTATTTACCTTGCCTTTAATTCTATTGAATGATATTATATTAATCTGGCCTCACCAGCTTTTTGTTTTGGTTTGGTTTGGTTGGAGTGGGGAAAATAAAAGCAGGCAGAATTTGCGTTGTATATCAGGTTCTCCAACCTTTTAACTCCAACTTGTACTACTTGCTCACATTTAAGTTATGTGTCTTCTAAGAAGAATTATAGGTATGTTTTTCCTTTTTATCCACTGATAATCTTGGCCTTTCAATTGGAATATTTAGTCTTCTTCATTTAATGTTAGTATCAATGTCTTTTAATTGAAATCTACCATGTTATATTTCTTTTAGAGGTCCTTTGCTTCTTTTTTCTCTTTTCTTATCTTTTTTGAAAATAATCAAGTATTTTTATATTTTGGTCTCCTCCTTTATTAGCTTGTTTATTTATTATTTTTAATGATATCTTTGGGATTAAAACAAGTTTCTTTGACTTATTATGGTCTAATATATATTAGTACTTATCTCACTTGCCTGACAAACTTATGACCTTAGAACACTAAATTTCTGTGGGTTTTTTTTTTTTTTTTTTTTTTTTTTTTGAGATGGAGTCTCGCTCTGTCGCCCGGGCTGGAGTGCCCTGGCATGATCTCGGCTCACTGCAAGCTCCGCCTCCCGGGTACACGCCATTCTCCTGCCTCAGCCTTCTGAGTAGCTGGGACTGCAGGGGCCTGCCACCACTCCCGGATAACTTTTTGTATTTTTAGTAGAGATGGGGTTTCACCGTGTTAGCCAGGATGGTCTCAATCTCCTGACCTTGTAATCCTCCCGCCTCACCCTCTCAAAGTGCTGGCATTGCAGGCGTGAGCCACCGCGCCCAGCCAATCTCTGTGTCTTGAGTTATTATTGCCATGAATTTTAATTATATAATTAACGTGTGCGTAGTAGTCCGTTTTCAAGCTCCTGATAAAGACATACCTAAGACTGGGTAATTTATAAAGAAAAAGAGGTTTAATGGACTCACAGTTCCACGTGGCTGGGGAGGCCTCACATCATAGTGGAAGGTGAAAGGCATATCTTACATGGCAGCAGGCAAGAGAGAAAATAAGAGCTAAGCAACAGGGGAAACCCTTCATAAAATCATCAGGCCTCGTGAGACTTATTCACTACCATGAGAACAATATGGGTGAAACTGCCTCTATTATTCGATTATCTCCCACCAGGTTCCTCCCACAGCACGTGGGAATTATGGCTACAATGCAAGATGATATTTGGGTGGGGTCACAGACAAACTATATCACTATGTGTTATATATTTAATTACATGTTTAACATAAATATTTAATGCAACATGACACTACTTTTATTATTCTGCACAGATAATGCTCATTTAAATTTAGCTATATCCCTGCCCCTGGGCTCTTCATGGATTTCTGTTCTTTGGCAGCTACTGAATTCTACTTTTCATCTCCCCAGGACAAGACCCTTGAAGGCTCTACCTAGTGTCTCAACCTCTTACCTGAGCCTTTACCTTGGCTTTACCCTAGGAATGGGTCACATACTAACCAGCAATTCCTCAAGGTGAAAAGCAGTGCTGAGGGTGGACTGGCTTCTCAGTGCTTCCCTTCTCTCTGGAATCTCAATTTCATTGCCATGGGAGCCATGGTCTCTCACTTGGCCTCCCCAGTCCTGTGAGACCAGCAAAAACTCTGCTTAGCCACCATTTCTTGCGTGGTTTCATGCTGGGAATCTCTGCCTTTTTAAATCAGTTTAATCGTGTTTCCCTCAAAGGGAGATTGGAGAGGCTGCAAGCTACTCCATCATATTGGAAAGTGATAATCTCCCTGATTTCTCGTAATTACAAGTTTTCAATAAAATGCTTCTGTTTTCTTGTGGGAGGCGGGATAGGTTTGAGAGGCAGAGTTAGCAAGTATTTTCCCCCAAATATGTAATACGTAATTTTATACTAACTTTTTGTTACAAAGATTTAGTTAATTTGATCGTGGACCATTTATTCGCTGCCTCTTTATATTTGTAATTATTTGAGTAGAAAGGGTTTTATTTTTCACATCATGCAGCTTATTATGGCCTATTTACAGAAGAAGAACATGAAGCCTACACAAGTTAAGGAATTTTGTCTGTCGTATAATAACTTATTGGAAGCCCCAGGACTGAAACATGGGTCTAGAGATTTCTAGCAAGTATACTTTTCAGTTGTTTCAGAGGTTTCTTAGCCAGAGTCGGGTATACTTCTTTCTTCTTTCAAGAAGACAATGAGTAAAATGCTCATAATTTCTGCAAACATACATCAGACACATGGATTATTGATTTGATCACTCTTACTTGCCATTAAAGTTAACATTAAATTTTAATTAGATATTATCCACATCAGTTTCTCATGTTTTTGCTGGCTTTTTTTTTTTTTTGGAATTTTGAAATATATCTAAGCAGACCAGAAACCATTCTTATATCAAGAGACAGCCTAAAGAGTGGTTCTTCCTTAGCTAAGTTCCTTGTACATGACCTGATCATTGGTTCTCTCTTTTATGCTTTGATTGACAATAATATTATCAAAAGAAAACTTTTCCTTTTCAATGGAGAGGCTTACAATATTTTTCTTCTATTCTTTAATAGAAACATTGCAAGGAAACAGCATGCATAATTATTGGGAAACATAATATTTAAGAAGCTTTAAAATATAACATGGGAGGGTGCGGGGCCAAGATGGCCAACTAGAAGCAGCCGTGATGGGAGGTTCCCATCTAAAAGAACCAAAACACCATGCAAATCCAGCATAGGCAACTGAGGTATCCAGGTTGTGTCATCAGGACTGACTAGGCAGCTGGTGTGACCCACAGAGAGGTAGGAAGAGCAGTGTGGTGCTGCGGCCCACCTGAGAGCCCCACATAACCAGGCAGCTCCCACTCCCCCAGCCAAGGGAGGCGGTGAGGGAGTGGGCTACCCAGCCAGGGAAACTGTGCGCTTTCCACGGAACTGTGCAACCCATGAATCATGAGCCCATGCCACCAGGGCCTAGAGTCCCAACCACGGAGCTGCGCAGATTCTCAACAGCCACTCAGCTAGAATCTGCTTAGGCCTGCTGAGTTCCCTGGGGGAGGGGCAGCTGCCTGCTCTCTAAGCCATCTGAGCTTCTTGTGTGAGGGGCAGCAGCCAACACTAGGACCATAGCTGCCTAACACACTAAGCTCCTGGGGCGGGGGATGGGCAGCAGCCATCTCTATAGTTCCAGGCCAGGCTTTTCCCCTACTGGAGCCAAGGTGCCTGACAGTGTGGTCCTAAGAGGTATTCCCCACAGCCCAATAAACCAGCTGTGGCAGACTGCACCAGAGTGCCTCTTCAGGCCTGACCCTGACCCATCCCTCCTCACTGAGCAGGACCTCCCTGCATGAACTCCAATAACTCCAGCCAGGGGCTAGAGACAGAACTCTGATCTCCCTTGGCCTGAGCCCCTAGCAAGAGGGATAGCCCTATCCTCCGCAGACCAGCAGACTTAGTCTTTCCTGCTAGTTCTGAGGAATCCAGGCAGCCCAGACGAGGCAGTTCCCCCCCAGCGCAGCATACCCTCTCCACCAAGGGACAATCAAAGTGCTTCATTAAACGGGCCCTGCTCCCTGTGACACCCAACTGGGTTGTCAGATACCCTGTACAGGAGCATTTCTACTGGCATCAGGTCGGTGTCCCTCGAGTTCAGAGATCCCAGAGGAAGGAGCAGGCACCCATCTTTTCTGTTCTCCAGCCTCCTCAAGTGATATCTTCAGGTGCAGGAGTGAACCAGATGAATAGGGCCTGAAGTGAACTCCCAGCAAACCACAGCAGCCCTACAGAAGAGGGACCCGACCATTGAAAGAAAAAAAACAACAAACAGGAAGCAACAACAATAGCATTAACACAAAGTTCCCACAAAAACCTCATCCAAGGGTCAGCAAGCTCAAAGATCAAACTAGACAAACTCATGAAGATGAGAAAGAATCAACGAAAAAATGCTGAAAACTCAAAAGCCAGAGTGCCTTTTCTCCTTCAAATGATCACAACACCTCTCCAGCAAGGGTGCAGAACTGGACGGAGGATAAGTTGAACAAATTGACAGAAGTAGGCTTCAGTAGATGAGTAATAACAAACTCCACTGAGCTAAAGGAGCAAGTTCTAACCCAATTCAAAGAAGCTAACAACCTTGATAAAAGATTACAGGAGCTGCTAACTAGAATAACCAATTTAGAGAGGAACATAAATGACCTGATGGAGCTGAAAAACACAACACAAGAACTTCGTGAAGCATACACAAGTATCAATAGATGAATCGATCGAGCAGAAGAAAGAATATCAGAGTTTGAAGACCATCTTGCTGAAATAAGGCAGGCAGACAAGATTAGAGAAAAAAGAATGAAAAGGAATAAACAAAACCTTCCAGAAATATGGGACTATGTAAAAAGACTGAACCTACAATTGATTGGAGTACCTGAAAGAGATGGGGAGAATGGAACCAAGTTGGAAAACACACTTCAGGATATTATCCAGGAGAACTTCCCCAACCTAGCAAGTCAGGCCAACATTCAAATTCAGGAAATACAGAGAGCACCATTAAGATACTCACAAGAAGATCAACCCCAAGGCACACGATGATCAGATTCTCCAAGGTCAAAATGAAGGAAAAAAATGTTAAGGGCAGCCAGAGAGAAAGGCCAGGTAACCTACAAAGAGAAGCCCATCAGACTAACTAACAGTGGATCTCTCAGCAAAAGCTCTATAAGCCAGAAAGGGGGCGGTGGTGGCAATATTCAACATTATTAAAGAAAAGAATTATCATCCCAGAATTTCATATGCAGCCAAACTAAGCTTCATAAGTGAAGGAGAAATAAAATCCTTTGCAAACAAGCAAATGCTGAGGGATTTCATCACCTCCAGGAGTGCCTTGCAAGAGCTCCTGAAGGAAGCACTAACTATGGAAAGGAAAAACCAGTACCAGTCACTGCAAAAACACACCAAAATATAAAGGCCAAAGACACTATGAAGAAACTGCATCAACTAGTGTGCAAAATAACCAGCTAGCATCATGATGACAGGATCGAATTCACACATAACAATATAAACCTTAAAAGTAAATAGACTAAAGTCCCCAATTAAAAGACACAGATTGAAAAATTGGATAAAGGGTCAAAACACATCAGTATGCTGTATTCAGGAGACCCATCTCACATGCAGACACACATAGGCTTAAAATAAAGGGATGGAGGAAAATTTACCAAGCAAATGGAAAGCAAAAAAAAAAAAAAAAAAAAAAAAAAAAAGCAGGTATTGCATCCTACTCTCTGACCAAACAGACTTTGAACCAACAAACATCAAAGAAGACAAAGAAGGGCGTTACATAATGGTAAAGGGATCAATTCAACAAGAAGAGCTAACTATCATAAATACATATATGCACGCAATACAAGAGCACCCAGATTCATAAAACAAGTTTTTAGAGACCTACAAAGAGACTTAGACTCCCACACAATAATTGTGGGAGACTTTAACACCTCACTGTCAATATTAGACAGATCAATGAGACAGAAAATTAACAAGAATATTCAGGACTTGAACTCAGCTCTAATCAAGTGGACCTAATAGACATCTACAGAACTCTCCACCCCAAATCAACAGAATATACA